>NC_000004.12:81345623-81497138 GCF_000001405.40 Homo sapiens
CAGTGCAGGCAGCTCCATAATTTTTCTGTCCTCTGTTGCCAAGACATTGCCGCTCTGCAAAGGGAGGAGTAGCTGGGTCCAGTCCTTTGGCATCCAAGTGGCATAGGGTCAATTTCAGTGGGGGGTGGAGCTGGCATGAAAAGCACAAAAAATGCTTTCTCCGCATGTCCACACACTCACCCCCAGTGAGAAGAGCTACTGCTGTGTCTGCAACAGAGGACGGGAGTGGGGCAGTGGGCAGGACAAGTCCCCCTCTCCACTTCCATTTCCAGGCATCAGTGCTGTCCCCTTCATTGATTGCCATCACACCTCTGTTTCCTTTGTCCCAAGGGAGGCCCTGGTGGGCTGTACTCCCCCCTCCCTTAGGGGGGCCCATGCAGACCATTAGATTTCCAGGGATTCTGCAGTTTCCTGGGGACCCACTGTCCCCTGTGCTTGCCAAAGTCCAAGCAGGTTGTTAGGTATGGTGGCGTGGCGACTCGACGGCAGAGAATCCCTGGCCAGGGCGGTGGCCCACTATGGTGCACAACCAGTATGGCACCTGCTGTCTCAGTTCAGGTATGAGAGAGTGTGGGCACACCTACACGAGCTGGCCACCCAGGTCTCTGTCCCTGGAAAGTTCCCAAATTGCCACTAACAGCATTGCTCAGGGTCACCAGGGGAGAGGGGCTCCCCAACAGTTGGTGGTCAGCAGATTGTCAGAGGGGTGAGGGAAGCAGAGAAGCACTCCCACCTACTCTTTCTGCAGGGCTCCACATTCCTCAGGGGCTGATCTCTGCCGTATTCTTGCTGCTTTCCTTTTCTGCAGCCCAGCTTCTTCCTTTGTGCTCTCTGACACGTTCTGGTTCTCTTCCCTCAGTTTTCCATTTGAAACTTGTCCATTCACCAGTAACTTTGATCTTCTTTCCGAGTAGAACTGGCACCTGATGTCACTAAGTCAGCCATCTTGAAAAAAACACATTAGTTTCTTTAATAGTTTTTACCCCGTACCTTTTGCATAATCTCCTGACATTTGATTATCAGAAAGAGTATTTTTCAAAGTACATGGGCCATAAACTTGCGAGTTACCTGAATAAGTTGTTATTCTGGTTATTATTACTGTTTAACAAACCAGACCAAAACTCAGTGGCTTAAAACAAGAGTCATTCATTCATCAATCTGGGCAGGGATTGGTAAGCTTGGCTTATCTCTGCTCCACATAGTCAGCAGGTGCTGCTTGAAGGTGATTAACATCCAGGGGCTGGAATCCTCAGCAGGCCCACTCTCTCACTCATGTGTCTTGGGCTTGTTGCTGGGTGTTAGCTGGGTGGTTGGCCGGAACCTACATAGGGCCTCACCATATGGCTGCTTGGCTTCCTTATAGCACTGTGGCTTGGTTCCAACAATAAGTATCCCAAGAGACAAAAGGTGGAACCTACTGTTCAAATTCTAGGCCCAGAAACCTGCACAGCATCCCTTCCACTATATTCTCTTGGTTAAAGAGTGACTTTACCCAGAGTCAAGGAGAGGAGACAGAATCCAGCTCTCCATACAAGGAGCATCAACGAATTTGGGGACCAGGTTTTAAAACTGATACACTTATTTAAAATGCAAATACTTGGGTTTTACACCTTAGACCTATTAATCTGTTTTTCTGAGGCTTGTGGCTGGAAATGTAGTTTTAATAAATAATCTTAAATTTTTCTTAGACCAAAATTTGATTTACATATCATCTTAGAACCTCCTATTTAACATAAAAGTTTCATCTTCCCTATATTTAATTGCTTTAGCCAAGAGTGTCTTGTGATATCCCACAATCACCATGTTCTGTTTGAGGGGAGGGGATAGTGCCAAGTAGTTTATTCTGAACTTGAATTCCTCCCACACTACATACAGAGCAGAGCACAGGAAAATGTGGGAGACACTGAGCAAGTGAAGGGTTAATAATTCTGAAGTCATCACGATATGCATCCAGTAAGAAGCTGCATTCTGATTTAAAAAAAAAACAAAAAAGCTTCCACTGATGTTTATCTGCAGTACCCCTCACTTTTGAGATGTGTTTCCTTTCCATATGAAGGTTAAAGAGGGGGAATTATTTCAGTCGGGGTGTATGTTAGTGGGGTTCCCTTGAGAAGCAGACCCCGAAATAAGAACTGAATACACATAGTTTATTTGGGAGATCCAGGGACAGACGAGATGGAGAAAATAAGGCAGTCAATACAGGCACATTATTAAGCCAGCTACCTTCAGTGGGCAGCTGGAGTTTAATCCAACTGGGAAGCTCTGGGAAATGGAATAAAACACACACATCCAAGTTATCCTGCTAAGGGGAAGCAGAGCTGGGGTATTCATATTCCTACCCTCTTAAGTAATCTGTAATGATGCTCCTAGGGGATAGGTAATTCCTAGGTATTTCAATTGGCAAAGTGGATCCCAGCAGCCCAAGAGCAGGTATTGGCCATTGTAAACGCGGCTGGTGTGCATGGAAATGGTTAGAGATCTAAGAGGATCTAAGCAGAACACATCCACAAAATGTCAGAAGATCCAACATCAGCGCTCTGGCTTCACTGAAACAAGTCAGACCAAGGACTCTGACGTATCCAATGTTCTAACTGGTTCTTTAACCTGCTCAACATCACAAAGCTGAGTAAATGCTAGAACTGGCATATAAACCTAGGCCAGTCTGCTTCTAAATGCTTTTAGGTGTCATTACCCTCAAAAGGGTAAAGGTCTGCTTTGATTACTCTCTGTTCTGTTATTTTAGATTATACATGGAACTCCTTACTTTTCTTGGAGGTAAATAATCTGCCTAACTGAGAATCTTGTGCTATTTCATTTTTCCTAAAGAAGCAACTACTTATCAATGAAAGAATTAGCTTTTGGAGCATTTGTGACACTGTTTCCAGATGTGTATTTTCCAATATGAGCTGGCCAGATCCAGAGGAGCTCATGCCATGGTACAGCAGAAAATGCACAAAAGCCGTATGGATATCTTTCACTTCATTAAGACCCTGGACTACTTTGATGTCATCTCTCCCAATTTATTGTGTGGTGTTTTCTTTTACAAGCAGAGGAAAACATCTGGGCTATTTCTCTCAGCTGGTTTTGCTCTTTTAGGTAGTATTTGGGATTATTGTTTGGAAGGCTATGTTCTAAATTGCCAGTGATAACACATGTGCTGGCTTTGCATTTCCTAATATTCTTTCCCGTTGTTCCACCATGTATCTAAGCCAGCCCCTGTGCTGCCCAGCTGACCCTTCAGGTACTATATTCACAGTAATTCTCTTCAGAAGGCAAGCAAATTGCAAGACAGCTAATGAGTTTTAATGACAAGGCTTCTGCCTAGAGTGAAAAGCAATTATCTAATCATTATTCACTCAGGAGGTGGCATGTGAGGAGGTCCCAATGATTTCAGTTACATTTCTTTGGTTCATAAATTTATCCAGCTTACTAAGTATGTATCATTTTCTTCCCCAACAAGAACACTGTTTTCTTTCTAGACCACTTCTGTTTAAGGAAGGTAAAGCCATGGAATTAAGATTCATATTTGTGAAGATCCCACGGACATAATGACACCTAACGAGGTGGAATTTTATTTCTCCTTATGGCATTTTTACACTAGAGACACTTCACACAGCCTTCTTATGAATGTGTCTGTTTATCTGTTCTTCCCTTGCTCTGCCACAATTTGCCTTGCCCTTTGAATTTAAGCCCTTTAAGTTCATACAAGCTGTCAATAAGTCAAAGATAGACTATGTTTTCATGGAAGTAGATAATGATATTAAATTTTATTACTCTAAATAGAGAATGCTAGCTAGACTCTTACTGGCCAAATTTACTGTATAGATATAGATATCTAGATATAGACAGATTTAAAGATACATAAAATCAAAATTTTTATAAATCTGTATATCTGTCTATACATATATGTGTACACCATAATCAGAGTGCACATATATAGATATGTTTGGTGTGATTCTAACAAAAATCTGAGTTATCTATATAAATATAAATAAGAAATCTGTATTAGTTAATATATTAATTGTTAATATAGGCATTTAATTAAAATAATTGCACTTTGTTCCTCACAAAAATTTAAATGAGTACATTTTTTAAATAGTATATTTTATATAACAGTGTAGATTTCCTACTTCTTTCAAAAAGCTAAAGATTAAGCAACACTGGGCCCTCATTCCTACATAGCAATGATATGCTAGAGTTATTAACATCGGCTCCTTTAGATTGGGAGAGTACGCTCTAGATTGCCGCTGACCTCATTACTCTCTGCTGTCTACCCAACACTAAGTCCTAATGTTAGTAACCACTGTGCTTGCAATAGTACTCAACTACATTCATGTGTTTGCATGAGTGGCCTAGCCTCTGAATGATTGGAAATTCTGGTTCTATATATAATGAAAGTTACAGGACAGAATATATGTTTGTCTATCCTTGTTCATCCAGTACCAATCATATAGTAAGTCCTTAACGAATAAGATAAATGAATGAAAGGAAGGATAAATTGAGTCTTTAGCAAGAAAAGATACTTGGTTATAAAAATTATATTTCTTCCAGCATGGTAGAATTTTATGTCCCAATTGCCAGTAATTTTGCTTACTCTTCAACCACTGCCTTGGCTCTGGGCCAAAGTTACCAGCAGCATGCTGAGGGGTTACAGGACGGAGTGACCAAAGTGGCAGCGGGCTGAGTTTATTGAGACTCCCAGAACTGTCCCCCCTTCCACATCACATATTACATTATTAATGAGGGGAAAGTGACCTTCTGTACCTTATTTAAAAAATGCAACCACTTGAGATTTGAGCAAGTGATTGGTATGGCTCCAGATGCCAGGAAGCCCAGATTTCTCCCCCAGTCTCTCTCATGCAACCCTTATGCTATTAGTACTGCTCAACTAATAAAGAATATTGGATTTAATTTAATTTTTGGACAGAAATCTCACCAAAAGAGATTCGTTCACTTGTTTACTGTCTGTTTTCTGCACTAGAAAATGTTTCCTTAGAGCAGAACCCTGGTCTCAATTTGCCAGTGTGTTCCCAGTATGTGGCATCAAGTAAGTTCTCAATAAATACCTGTTGGAAAGGACGAATAAAGAAAAAAATGCTTGTAAGCAGAAAAGAACGAAGAGTTTGATCATTTTAGAAGCAAGACTAAAAGAAGTAAGAAAGGAAGGAGCTAAGAAGAAGAGTCCAAAATAGTAGAAAGAACAAAAACAGGAGCCAGGGGCTGTCCTTCTCCGCCAGACAGTCCTGCTCAACCACCCACTCTGTTATCTCTCCTGCCAATGCGGCAGAGCATTTTAAAGGTAAAAAGATGAGGGACAGGGATCAGCCATTATTGCTCACTTCAGCCCACCTTTATGCTGGGTTCCCAGCCTGCTTATTCTCTGTGAGAAGGCTGGAGGATGCAGCCACCTGGCCAGCCACAGTGTCCTGCCTGGAACATGTCAGGTTGTGTAAGACCCTGGGAGGACCAGCATGTTAGCCACAGTGTTTGCACTGGCACCTCTTCCTCCTTCTGCCAGGGCCACGTATTCCTGGCCTTTGTCTCCCACTCAGGAACCTGAGACTCAGGCTTAAAAGGCTATGGAAGGGCAACATGTATTCCCAACAATGAACTGTGAAGTCACCTTACCCATAGTCCTGGCCTGTATTTACTAAGGGCTAATAAGCTGAGTTCTTCATATGCCTTACTCCACTTAAGCCTCACCACCCCTCCAGGAGGTAGCGACTGTGGTTATCCACATTTCTCAGATGAGCAAACTGAAGCTGAGAGAATTAAATAACCTGCTCAGTATCACAAAGCCGAGTAAATGCTAGAACTGGCATATAAACCCAGGCCAGTCAGCTTCTAAATGCTTTTAAGCGTCATTACCTTCAAAAGAGTAAAACTCTACTTTGACCTTTCTTCTTGTCTTTGGTACCTTGCTCTCAGGTTAGCCGAGTACCTGATTCCCTTTTCTTCCATTATTGGTGTGGGGGATAAATATCTAAGTACTGTATATTCATCTAATTTTCTCTGCTTAGTCACCATGATTTCTAAAGAAATGTAGCGATCTTTGCATATCTGTTTAACTTTTCCATGGGGGTCATTGTAAGGGTTATTTTTTAGTTGTCTGCTTTTTCAGGGCTCCCTCCCACCTGCTGTAGCCCCAGAAACCATTCACACACCCTTTAAAGCAGAGAAGTGACATCTACCTGCTTACACTTTCTGGGCCGTGCTGCCCTCTAGTGGCTAAAGTAAATGCGGCTTCAGCTCAAGCCTCGTTTACATCTTAAGAGCCCAGAAGCTACATGTTCTTAAAAGGCTCCCCGATATCCACATTTAAGGCCAAATCAACATTCAGTCACAGTGGATTCTTTTAAATATTTGCTTGCATTTATTGAATGACACAGGAACAACCACGGTCTATCAGTCCCCAGTAATCCAGGACTGGGATATAGATTCAAAACGACTGTGCGAGATATTTCCAAACGAAACATTCTTCATTTCCTGGGCTTCAGGTTCCAAATCATTTCTTATTGTTCCTTTTTCCTTTGATCAGAAACTAAGAGAAAGCTCTAATGTGCATAGAGAAGACAGCGGTGGTAATTAATGTGTTGCTCTATGAGCAGTGCCTTCCTTTTACATGTCACAGAGGGAGCATAAATCAGATGGCACTGCTGTTTTTACAATGAAATGGAATGTGGAATGCAGTCTCCTTCGGAATTCTGACATTTTCTTCTAAATTTAAGGAAGAAGTAGGGATTTTGCAGGAAGACTGGAGAAGCTGGTAATAACTCTCTAAATTGCCAAATGTTATAAGGAGGTAGAGGTGAAAGTTGTAAGTCTATCTAAGATTTGTTTGTTTGTTGGTTGTGACCGTTTTTAAGAGCTTGTGTATGAGAAAACAAAAACTTGGAAGCTGTGTCTACATAAAGCTACAAGATTGACCATACTGACTGGATTAACCCATGATTCTGTTGTTCTTCATTGAGTCCACCAGTTGTTTTGATGATTTGTAGACATGGCACAACTAGCCCAATGAATTAGGCCAGACCACAAAGTTTGTAGAAACTAAGCTTGCAAGAATTCTGACTTGGACTCAGTTCCAGGTTCCTTTCATTTCAGTTTTATTACCAAAGCAGCAAACAACAGTGCACAAGTTATAGAGGACATGAAGGATACAAACGCTAGATGTTGTTTGCTGATGCCTCACATATTCACCCCCAAGTCACATCCAAATCAGCCCACGTGGGTAATGAATCTCCCAGGAGAATGGAGCCACACTCAGGTCTCATGGGGAGATCTACATATCAGCCAGAAATCCTGGAATTCAAGTAGAAAGCAGTACCTGGGAATTGGGGGTTGCTTCTCTTGAAGAGGGTATAAATGCATTCCACATAAAGAATATTTATGTAAAGGAAGATGTGAACGGATCCTGGGTGGTCCAAGAGGTACAAGGTTTCTGATATTTTTTCTCAACTAAAAGATCCCTGAACCTATAGATGGATGCAGTTTTTGCTTTTTTATTTGTTTGGTTTTTTGCAGCTCAAAGTGATCATATGACATAGTTCTAGCCAATGAGAGACAGAAATCCCTAGTGAAAGCAACATTTCCCAAGTAAAAAGACAAGGTCTCATTGGTAAAACTGGACAGACTTCAACTTTCTTGCGCACACTTGGAACACAGAGGGGAGGTGTGGAAGTGCTGCCACCATTCTGTGACTATAAAGCAAGAGGCATGGAAATAATGGCCTGAGTGTTAAAGATGGCGGAGTGGGTCACAATGGCATTGCTGAGCGACCACACATGTTTTGCACTGGCTACTCATCTCTGAATATTTTTGTGAGACAAGCAATATGGTTTGGTTCTGTGTCCCCAACCAAATCTCATCTCGACTTGTAACCCCCTGTGACATGGGAGGGGCCTGGTGGGAGGTGATTGAATCATGGGGACGGACTTCCCCCTTGATGTTCTTGTGATAGTGAATTCTCATGAGATCTGGTTGTTTGAAAGTGTGTGGTACCTCCCCCCTTCGCTCGCTCTCCCTTGCTCTGCCATGACAAGATGTACTTGCTTCCCCTTTGCCTTCCGCCATGATTGTAAGTTTCCTAAGGCCTCCTAGCCATGCTTCCTGTACAGCTTGCAGAACTGTACAGTCAGTTAAACCTCTTTTCTTCATAAATTACCCAGTCTCAGGCAGTTCTTTATAACAGTGTGAGAACGAACTAATACAAGTAAATCCTAATGTTGGATCTACTGTCATAGAGTTTTCTGTTATTTATAACTGAATATATTCTTAACAGATTGTTTGAGCTCAGGCTGCTATAACAAAATACCAGATTGGGTGGCTTAAACAACAGAAACGTATTTCTCACATTTCTGCAGTCTAGAAGTCCAAGATCAAGGTACCAGCATATTCTGTTCCTGGTGAGGGCTCTCTTCCTGGCTTGAAGACAGCTGCTTACTCACTGTATGCTCATATGGCCTTTCCTCAGTGTGGGCTTGTGGAGAAAGAGCTCTCCCCCTTTCCTCTTCTTCTTAGGTCACTAATCCCATCATGAAGATCCCATCCTAATGACCTCATCTAAACCTAATTCCCTCCAAAAAGCACCATCTCCTAATAACATCACAGTGGGAACAACATAGGGATTTGGGGAAATACAAACTTTCAGCCGATGATGCAGATACATCTACAAATCAACATATAAGTTTTATGAGTTTACCAATATTCCCCTAACTTCCCTGTGTTTTTACTTAACATATGCAAAGCTATCTAATCCGTCCTAATATGCAGAGCAAACACATTGGTAAAGCTATTCTTGGGGCCAAGAATCAAAGGTTAGCATTTGACACATTTGAAAATTTTGTAAAATTTCTCTTACTAGGCTAGGCCCACTTAAAGAGATAGAAAACAGTTTGATAAAAAGCTTCATTTAATTATTGAATTTATAATATTTAACTTTTTATACTTGTTGGATTCAGATTGTGAATAATCAAAAAATATATTTAGCAACTTCAGAGATGTTATCAGTTTTAAAAGGACACACATGACATAGACACTTAAATGTACCACATTCATTTTAGTGTCCAGACTATTTCTAGCTCCACTTGTTCCTAAAGACATAGACTCATCTGAGGAATCATGAGGAGGAATAGCACAGGTTGTGAATAGTCATAAAATCATCAGTCTGCAGCTGACCTTTAGGAACTCACCTAACAACTGTGAATTAATGTACATTTTTAAAAGAATCCATTGGGTTAATACACTTTAAAAAGAAATTCAGCCACAAAAATACAAGATGTCTTTGTGTTAATTCAGCAGAAAAGTATCTGGGTATCATTGAAAGAGAGCCATTAGCTGCATATGGGACACATAAATGTATGCATAATAGTGATTCATAATTGCAATTATAAGTCATAATTATGTCTTGCATTATTATGTGTTTTTATTCTGTTGCATGAGTACTTCCATTAAGTAATCAAAGCAAAGAAACCAGTGAGAACATTTTAAAACATTTCACTGGGCGCCTGAATTTTTTTCATTCATAACAGTTATGAGGAGCACTAAAGATGGAATACATTTTAAAATTTCCCCTTCGTATCCACAAATCACTCAGCATTATATAAGAATCCTCTAGGTTTGAAACCTATGGCTTTATGTCCCACAGAAGGTTATTTTTTTTTCCCTTAGTCAGTAAGCTAATCCCTTTCTGCTGCACCAGCTGGAGTCCTGGTGGGGATTAGAACACAGTGTAAGGTAATGCTTGGTTGGTGAATGGGGAATAGGTCTAGCTTCAGTGTCAGAAATTATGTCCAGGCAGAGAGATGGCTGTTTTGAGATGAACAACACTTAGATATCTTTTCTCTTTTTTTTTTTTGAAAAAAAAAAAACAATTTTTATCATAACATGTTTGGGAAGTGGTTAAATCGAAATATGCCATATATAAGTGTCCCAAGTCCCACCCCCTTACAGCCAATAAACAATGCAATGCTTTGGATAATACCAGTGAGCCACTGGGGTTTATAGTCAGAGTTAAGTGACCTGAGAATTCATGTCCTCCCCTGTGTAGATTCCTACACCTGTCTTTTGCCCCAGCACCAGCTCTGAAGCATTACAGAGTTTGTGTAGATTTCCTGTTGATGTCTGAAGGCTATCCTTGGAATCTAGATCAAATCAGGTCTTCTACGATTACTCTGGATGTATGTAGAGCTCAGTGCCAAAAGGAATAAAAACTTTGGGAACCCTTAGGACAGGTAAATAAGCCAGCTCTCAGTAGACATCATAAGATGATTAAAAATGCCTGGCCTCATCCTTTTCCCAAGTTACCTCTCTCCTGTAACCTCTCTCACTCTCACACATATCCCTGAGGGGCCAGAAATAATGTAGGCTCTAAAAAGACCTCTCCAATAGGATTTCAGGATTAAATAGTGGCTTACTTTGCTTATCTAGACTATAGTCTCTCCCATATAAGTGGTTTAAGGTTGTTCACATAGAAATTAATAATCTGAGCTGAAAAAAAAGGGAAGGAAAGGGTGGAGGAGACAGGAGAGAAGAGGGGAGAGAAAAACAAGGAAGGAAAGAAAGACGGAAAGAAAGGCAGGAAGGGAATGGGAGGAAAGGAAAGGAGGGGGGCACAGCCAACTATTCAACTCCAAGTGACTTGCTGCATTTCATGATAGAAGGTTTCAATTTTGCTGACTTATTTCTTGTTGAGAAGACATGTTTATTAATCCTGCAGTTTACATATGCCATGAGTCTTTGAGTCTCTACTTTTTATTTAAGAACACTTTGGCATGGATCACCCTGGATTTCTGTCTTATAGTCATAGATCTCATTCTAAGGCTTAGCTTTGAGGTAAAGGAGCTGTTGCAGCCCTATTCATCACTTATAAATTTGAAACCTGTGGGCTCTTCCTGACTTTCGCCCTGAGAAGTTTATCACTTCGAACCCTCAAAATTGTGACCTCCTTCACTTACATTTTGCCTGATTGTTCTCGGAGCTTTATCAGATAGCAAAATGCCAAATAATGTGCTCTACCTTTCTAGAAAATACCAGTAAATGGCATGACTGGTGGCCAATAAATATATGAAAAAATGCTCAACATCACTAATCATCAGAGAAATGCAAATCAAAACCACAATGAGATACCATATCACACCAGTCATAATGGCTATTAAAAAGTCCAAAATAACAGATGTTAGTGAGGTTGCGGAGAATGCTTATATCCTGCTAGGGGGGTTGCAAATCAGATCAGCCTCTGGGAAAAACAGTCTGAATATTTCTCAAAGAACTAAAAATAGAATTACTATTTGACTCAGCAATCCCATTACTGCATATATGCCCAAAGGAAAATAAATCATTCTACCAAAAAGATACCTGCTCTCACATTTTATTGCAGCACTATCACAGTAGCAAAGACGTGGAATCAACCCAGGTGCCCATCCACGGTGGATTGGATAAAGAAAATGTGGTACCTATGCACGACGGAATACTACGCAGCTGTAAAAATAGAATGAAATCCTGTCCCCTGTTTTTTGCAGCAACATGGATGCAGCAGAAGGCCATTATCCTAAGCAAATTAATGCAGAAACGGAAAACCAAATACCACATGTTCTTTATTGTAAGTGGGAGCTAAACACTGGGTACGCGCAGACATAAAGATGGGAACAATAGACACTGTGGACCCCACAACAGGAGAAGCAGGGAGGGAGGCATGGGTTGGAAAACTATAATACCTATTGGGTACTGTGTTCAGTATTTGGATGATGAGTTCAATTGAAGCTCAAACCCCAGCATCATGCAATACATCCATGTAACAAACCTGCACATGTACCCCCTGAATCTAAAATTTAAAAAAAAGAAAAAAGGAAATGGCATGATCTACAAAATACAACCTGACCTCTATAACTGTTTATTACATGGTCACATTGAAACTTCATTACAAGTAAGAAATATATTTTAAAGTATTCTATGTTTCTAAAAGAACTGAAGTTGTGCAACTGAGAGTAAACACAAAGATGTGAAATGCATTTTTCTACGTATATGTTTATTTCAATAAAAAGATTTTAAAGAAATATATGAAATAGAGTAAGCTGTGGCTATTTGAGTTCATTTCTGTTAAAAATATTATCCTTGTCTATTCAAATCTTTCCTAATTAAATCAAGTTCTATGAGTTCACATACCCCAGGTGTATAGTTTAAAAGTATTTTCTTCACCTGCAATGAGGATGACCATTATGGGGAAGTACTGGGGTTACAATTTGTATTCTGTTCTTGTAAAATCCATTGCACTGAAAACTCTAGAGAATCAAATCTATAATTTATTCTCATAACAGGTAGCACCTGCTAAATGGAAGCACCACAGTTCCCATTCATGGCTCCTTCCTGGATTTTGCCACAGACAAGGACCTAGGGAACTAAGGAATCTTGATTTGTAGCATATAAACATATGATTTAATCATAATAAAGAAAGGAACTTTCACCTACATGTAAAAGTCAGAAATGGTTATAGGGTTTCCCAGAGACATTTTCCATGAAGCTATATATTCATGAGTCCCAAAGCATTGATTCAACTATCAATCCTATGCCTTATTTCCTCTTCACTCTTTCCTAAAGGGCATGTGTGTGTTTGTGCCTGAATACGTCTGTTGATATTTATTTATATGCAGGCGAAAGAGAATTGCTGAAAAAATGCATTTGAAATGTGTATTTAAGCAATCATTAACCAGCAGTTACTCAATCATACAAGGTTAATCTATCCATGGACTAGGCAATATTTCTCAGAGCATATTCCACCCCTCCCCAGATCTACTAAGTGAGAATATCTGCCATTGAAGTCTGGGCATCTGTATTTAAAAACAAGTTCCCAAAGTGATTCTTATCCATGCTACAGTTTAATGAATAGGTTAGGTCATTCATTCATTTATTTGTTCATTCAACAAATATTCACTGAGCTCCTGTTAAGAACTGAAGGAAACAAAATTTAACAATACAATTACAGTTCCTGTTTTCATGAAACTTCCAATCCAGCATTTGCTGAACTGGCTTGCACTGAAATCAGTGCCCTGCAAGACCTTAACAGTTGTTACAAAATGTTGAGCAGAATTTTCTGCTAACTAGACCCAAACCAGGAACAATCTGCATTCTGAAGAGTAAAGAGAATTGTTGCAACTGGAGACCAGATGCTCACTATCTCTCAGGCTTAGTAAGTGGCAGCTAAACTACCTCCAATAACTGCCATCATCACACAAGCCTAACCCCATCTTTTAGGCATAAAGAATAAGGAGGGAGATGGAGGAAGAAAAAAAAAACACATAAGTTCGAGAGTTTGGGGCCTGAAGTGGATAGGACCGTGGCTCTACCTTCTCCTCCCTGTGAAGACAGAAGTAGCTTCCTCACTCCAAATATCAAGTAAAGAAAGTGCTAGTAGAGATTCCCTTAGAAATTGGCAGCGACTTTAAGAAGGGGCAATGGATATCTAATTCCGTACTTAAATGCTTATTCATGCAGTGGACTTGCTAGTCTATCACCTGTGGCTATCTGAGTTGAGTTGAAGAGAATCAGGAAGATAAGGCAAGGTGGCAAGGCTTGACAGTGAACAACATAGGCTCCCATGGAAGACTGCTGGATTTGAGCCATGGTACCAGTACTGCACCTAAGAGGGCAGCCAGCTAGTGAGGGGTCCCCAGAAGCAAGAGGACCATGCAGGTGGGAACTGAGAGATGTTGGAAGAGATCAATCCAGGAGATCATCAGGGGATTATGTAGTGATGATTCACTTCCCACAGAATGTAAGCAAAGGCCCTCTGAGAGAATTGGCATTTGGATGTCGGTCATGCCAAATCACACATAGGGCTCCACAGCTAACTAGTTTTCCAGAAATAGTCATGACATACAATAGTATATTAACATGCACTCCCATCTATTTTTTAAAAAGGACATTTACTCTTTCTAACCATTAATGCTTCTTTCCTATCCCAACACAAATAAAAGAGAACCCAGAAGAAGGAGGAGAGAAAAGGCAAAGGATCAGGCCAAGTTCCCTCCCTACTGTGAATGCCTGTGCTGGGGAAGAGAACGGCCTACAGTACTACATAGGAATGGAGACTGAAGCTGTTAACTGGACTGTTTCACTACAATGACCAGAAAGCTGTGAGATCCAGTCATATCATTATGACACCAGTGGGCAGTTGAAGGCAATAATGGAAAAAAATAAGTATTTCATGTTTATACCACACCAAGTCCAGACCATTAAATAAACCACATATATAGGTATTCTGGGTGGTGGAGTGGGGTCTTCTCTCATAAAACAAGATTAGGAGGCTGGGTGCCATGGCTCACACCTGTAATCCCAGCACTTTGGGAGGCCAAGGCAGGCGGATCACGAGGTCAGGAGATCGAGACTACCCTGGCTAACATGGTGAAACCCCGTTACTACTAAAAAATACAAAAAATTAGCCGGGTGTGGTGGCGGGCACCTGTAGTCCCAGCTACTCGGGAGGCTGAGGCAGGAGAATGGCATGAACCCAGGTGGTGGAGCTTGCAGTGAGTGGAGATAGTGCCACTGCACTCCAGCCTGGGCGACAGAGCAAGATTCTGCCATCTCTAAATAAATAAATAGATTAGGAAACAATGTAATCTATAGTCCCTGCCACCACTACCACCATCATATTGAAAACGGCAATGACAATCAGTATACTAGGCACTCTGGGAAGTTCTGCAGGAAAGACTATTTAACTATATTCAACCCAGGATTCTTCTACCTTCTTTATCCACTGTGTGTGTATGGGTGTGTGTGTGTGTGTATATGTGTCCTATTGTATCTTTTGGAATGCTAATGTTCTATGAAGGACAGTTTGGTAAATAAATGCAGGGATAAACACAAACAATAGTTTGTGTTGTGTAGTATAGGATGCAATATTATGAGGTGATTGATCAAAGAGATTACCTGTTGTATTCTAATCTTAGTATCTTGTTATTATGATTAATATTTATCATCATGGTTAATAAAAGTAACTTTGAATGTATTATTACTTATTTTAAAAAATAACTAATCTTTATTGGTACTACATTCCTTCTGGATATCTTCCTAAGCATTTTACATGCATTATCATATTTAATCTTCCCAAGAATCCTATGAGGTAGATACTATTTATATTCCTAGGTTACAGCTGAAAAAAATGGAAGCCAAGATCACATAGCTAGTAGAAAGCCTTAAACTCATGTCTGTCAGATCCAAGCCTTCTATGGACCACTAGGATATACCGCTGTATATTCATATCTTTCTATGCACTCTTATGGGAAATTATTCATACTATGATTCTAATATTACTCACAACCACAGTGAATAATCAGTCATAGCTGTGAAACTTATGGCAATTAAAATGATCCTGACTCTTCTAACCAGCGTTTTCAGATTAAACAACAATGTAAGGATCTAGGCAGTGAGTGTAGCAATGATTTGAAATCGATATGAACTACAAGAGAAAGGCCAAAGTAAGGTTGAGCAGCTGTATGCTTTGGAAATGTTAAGGTTCCTCTGGGTGGCATATTATACGAGTCTCTAAGTGTACTGAGCGGGTGGGTGGGTACGGGGAGAATATTTATCTTCGATATACCCTGAGTATGAGAAAATTGGTTGCAGATGGCTCACAGCTGTAAGGAATACCTTTGTTTCATTTGAAACCTGTTATAAATCTGTTCCTTAAACTACCTGCTCCAATGACTTTTAATTCAGAGGATGTTGGGTAAGTCCTTGTATATGACCCTCATATATCATCATAAAAGTGGTGGGGTGGTTTGGGCTGGAAACCCCTGGGAGAGTCCCTAGATTTATCGAAGGGCTGGGTTACCACGGGCACTTTGGGGAGTTTGAGTAAAGGCTTTTATTGATTATTAACATTATAAAGAAGAAATCAATTTTTACAAAGAGTGTTTGAAGAAGAAAATCCCCTTTGGCTAAAATTTTTTATGTTATAATTATTCTTTTCCTTTCTGAGAGCATTTTGAAAAGTAGCAATATTATTCCATAAGTTAAAGAAGTTTGGGCTGCAATGTAAAAGATACAGGTTTTGTGAGTAAGCAGTGAAACTTGCTTTCCTCTAGAAGGGCAACTAAAGTTGAATCAATGTCCAGGGGTACATTTTTATTGAGGGGTGTGGAATCTGCTCACAGTCAAATGAGTTATTTGATTTCATAGAGTCCAAATTAACGAATCTTGTCTTTGGAAACTAAAGATATTTTTTGTCTCATACAGCAAGTTTTCATTAAATTCCGTAAAGTAACTTAAAAAAAAAAATTCTGTAAAGTAACTTTAAAATGTTAGGAGTTGCTATAATTTTTAAATTACTAGTGTTTCCTCTTTTCTTCCTGAAATTTCAAGGGTCTTTTTACCCTAACTCTTTGAAAGACTAAAGCTTTGTACGTGGCATATTTTTCTGATTCCTTGAAAGTCCTGAGAAGACCTCAGTCCATGGATGTGTACTCTCTACAGCTGCTCCCACTCCCTCCATCACAGACACCAGATCAGTCTTCTCAGAGAACTTCCTTTGAAGTCAATGGGCATTGTACCTCCCTGAGAGGTGGGTCAAAATATAGATCTGGATCTGTTAAAACCCTACGAACCATTTACAACTTTTCCTATCACACGTAAGCCTTTCAAAGGAAAGGCAAAACTCAGCTGTAATCACCAAGGAGTAGAGTGAAGGAGGCTACACAAGTAAACCAAGAATACCACGGCTTCCCTAAATCTTCGCATGCACCCTGTGAAGACTTTACCCAACATTCACATGCATCAAATTAGTAACAACATTTTAAGGAGAGAGTATCAGAGTTTGGAATAAAATGTAGAAGTTGGGAGCAACAACAAATACCTTCATTTGCAACACAAAGCTTTGCCAGAAGAAAATAATCTGTATTTATTCCTGACTCCACTGGATGTGTGTTTTATGAAGGAACCTTCAATTTGGTCCCTACAGAAATATCCTCTAAAGACAAAAAAAATGCTTGGTTTTACCAAATAATTGTTTTTCCTAATAGTTTATATTTTATTTCCATTTTATAGCATGATCTTTCAATTTATGATCAAAATTGGCTACTTTTGTGATAAAAATGGGTTTCCAGGCATAAAATCTTTTATTATTGTGACATAAGAAATAAGAGTCTTACTTATTATGGCCTAACTTGTAATGACTATATAGAAACTATTTAGTCATATTTTGGGGAAAGGTATTATCATTCATCAATTCAAGGTATTAATGTATATCTTTATTTTTTCTATTACCATTACTTTTTTTTTAATCGGCTACCATGTTGCAGGAAAGATGACCCACCAAAATGTATTAGAACTACACTTTTCAAATTTTAATGTGTCTATAAATTACCTAGGGATCTTATTAAAATGCAGATTCTGACTCAGTAGGCTTGAGTAGAGCTGAGATTCTGCATTTCTAACAAACACAAAAGATGATGCTGATGTTGCAAGATATTAGAATTCCTGGTACTTGAATTGGGAAGAAAAAAAAAACACAGAAAGGTCCTAAATCAATGAGAAGGTACTGCATAAAACCCTAAGCACTCTGGCATCTAAGTAGCCACCTAGAAATGTCTTAAAAGAAAATGGATTTGAAAATATAGTTAGAGCCATAATGATAATACACATAGTTAAGGAGTGCATAAGAAATTATAACAAAAGAGCACCAGATTGGAAGTCAAGATAGCCTGGTTCTAACTTTAACTCTGCCACTAATTATGTGAACGTAGGCAATTCAACTACATGGTCTGAATTTTGGTTTCCTTATCTCTCTAATGATGTAGACATGTCCCAGCTAATTATAGCATCAGAAATAACATGATTAGTTTGTTCATGAAAGTATAAAGTGCTATAGTCAAGAAAGACAAATTGCCATTTTCATACGCCGCTATGGGGGATATTTTCTGGAAAGCAGATTAACAATCCCTACCATTTAACAATAATTCACCTTTAAACATTAATCCTAAAATATAATCAGAAATGCATACAAAGAGGGCATCATAGCTTCATTTGTCATAATAAAAATTAAGAAAAAAAATCTAAATTTCCAAAAATATAGTGAAACTGTTACATTCATTATGGTTCATCCACATGATAAAATGCTATACTTCCATTACAATTTTTTAAATTTTTTTGTGATAAAACTTTATGTAATAGATATGTGGGGAAATTCTGGAAAAAATAGAACAGATTGAAATGAGATTTTTGTCTATATTCATTAAATTTTTTAGTGAATATCTAATAAATTTTATCATCATAAATGAGTTTTCTAAAAAATTAATTCTAACTGGAGAATTTGAAAAACCTTCATAGATGATTTGTCATTTGCTCTAGTCCTTGCAAAGTTGGATGAAATAATTTCTAAGGTCTTTCTAGCTCCAGAATGCAATTATTCTATAAATAGGACAATTTTCACTAAAAAAGCAAACCAAAGAATTGAAACTACTATCCAGATAATTATTTAAAAATTTAGTAGAGTTTTTCTTTGTATTAATTCTTCAGTGAGTGAACAATGTCCTTATGAGGCTTATGTAATACTGTTTTCACTCACTCAACATTCTATATATTGATCCTTTGGGATTTAAATTTTACGATCTTGTGTGTTTTCCAGAAGTGTGTCAGTTTTTATCCTTTCTCAATCATGTAATCATTTAAGTGCTGTTTTACTAATACAAATTTAAATATTGTCAAAAAGCAGAACAAATCTCCACTGTTAAAATTTCTATCTCACCACAAAATGCTGGCAGTGGGGTATAGCCACTAGCCTTACAGGCTGACAGTGATATGTGTATCAGGCTTTATTTATGTAGTAATCTATGAAGGCATGTTTTGGTGAAATGTTTGACTGACAATGTAGCTGAAACTGCAATTAATGGAATTGTTATAAACCAATAAATATTTTCTCAAAAATCAATTTCTCAAATATTTTCTAAAAAATCAATCAAATGCCTTATAATTACAACAAAATCCTAAGACTTCTTCTGACTTAAAATATATATGAGTCTATGTTAACTCTTTCTTTGACCTGAAACTGTCAGTGAACAGTATAAGGACTTCAGTAACCATTAGTTTTGGGATGAATGATATTACAGTTGTCCACTACCCCTAAAGTTAGGCATGCACTCAACGTCTGCTTGGACCACACTGGCAAGGCTTCCAGGACCTCTGGAATGTGGGTGAGTAAATGGAGAAATCCCAAATAAAGTGATGTGGCTAAAAAGTGTCTTAAATGTGCTTGTTTTATGTTTGGCTATTTCCTATTTTTCTTCTTTGATAGAAAAATGCCAGCTAAGTAGAAAGTTGTTGGGTGTGTAAACCCAGGACCTCTTTTTAAAAAGTTAGAAAATTCATATAACAATTGACACCTGCTTGACTTCCATGATGTTAAAAAATTAGACTTCAGTTTTAACTTTTCAGCCATTTTGGTCCTTACAAAGAATTCAATGGGAAGACTTTTTTCTCCTCTCATCACGTCACTGTGGGTAATGAAAGGGTGTACCGCCTGTCTGTGACCTGCCCTCTATGTGGCAATATGACTTAGAACATCATTTTGCAACTTCCTTCCAAGTGACCTCACATTTACGATTTTTTTACACTGATGACTTCATTGTTTTCATAAAAATGGTACACATTCAATATTTTAAAAAGTTAAGCAATAGGCCGGGTGTGGTGGTTCACATCTGTAATCCCAACATTTTGGGAGGCCAGGGCAGGAGGATCACCTGAGGTCAGGAGTTCGAGACTAGCCTGGCCGACATGGTAAAATCCCGTCTCTACTAAAAACACACACACACAAAAAAAAATTAGCCGGGCATGGTGGCACATGCCTGTAATCCCACCTACTTGGGAGGCTGAGGCAGGAGAATTACTTGAACCCTGGAGGTGGAGGTTGCAGTGAGCCGAGACCATACCATTGCACTCCAGCCTGGGCAACAAAAATGAAACTCCATCTCAAAAAAAAAAATAAAGTTAAGCAATAAAGAAAAATACAAAAAAGAAAACCACGCATGATCCCAAATCTTACCACCTAAATATATTTGATTAGATATATGTCTATTTTGATATATCTATTTTGATATGTCTATATTTGATATATCTATATATATCTAATATTTGATTAGATACATATCTAATATTTGATTAGAAATATATTAGAAAAATATTTAAATATTAAATATCAAGGTAAATACTATAAAGAAATTTCTAATATTTTCCAGATCTCATTCTCTAGATATATAAAATAAGTGGAGAGAGAGGGAGAATGAGAGGTCATACTATAAATTTGAATGAATTTAAACTTAGGGTTGCCTTTAGGATAAATCTTGATTTTATTCTTTTTAATCTAAGTCCTATTTCCAAATTGCCCTGAATCCTGTTGTAGCCTTACCTCCCACTAGCCTCTCCCAAATCCCTCCATCTTAGATAAAGCATTTAGCATGTTGTATTAAACAATGCCCAAGATTTTCTTATCTTTACCCTTACTGATTCCTTCCCCGGCTGGCTGGCACAGCCCATCCAGAGCAGACACGTTCTCCTCCTCCTCTGGGCTCAAAAAGTGCCTCATGACCCATACTTTCTTTTGGCACTTGCTCTGTCTTCTTTTAGTGTTCATTGTCTTCTCGTGACAGTGCCGTTATTAGATTATAATTTTTGCCAGAACAAGAATTGTGTTTTCTCATTTTATGGGGGCGGGGGACATTTGGGACTGTCCACACAGTGCTGAGGACAGTGTAGATAAGTGCTTAATCAATAATTCCCAGATAAGTGTTGACTGATAATTCCCAGATCCCACAGATAAAAAATTTGCATTTTGCAATAGTTGGGTAGCTTTTATTTGCTGCCTGCTTGCTTTGCAAAAGACAGATGAGGTGTCTGGAAGTGTCACAGAAATGGTGGGGGTTCATTGGAGGATTTACCAATGTCAACTTCGGGACATATGCTAAAAAAAATACCTCAGGAGAAAGGCTAGGAGCTTAGTGGGAGGAACAGCAGAAACGTGCCTGACAACAGTGCCGCCAAAGCACATCCCCGAATCGTTTCATACAAACTCAGATTAAATGAGGGTAAATAAATATGTGTAACATTTATAGGGAAGCTAATGCATTAGTACCCCTTGAATTAAGAAAGGATGAAGAACAAAACATTGAAAAGATGAGAAACAGACTGAGGAGAAAACTGCCTGTTGAGAGAAAAAATAATTAGAAGTTCCTCGGGGAAACGCAGGAAAGGTGAGAGAACTGAGTGCGAGGTGCAGTCAGGCAAGGCAGTGTAGTTCTTTGTCTAACTGAGTGTCATAAACCTGCTAAAAAATCCTGCTTATGTGAAAAAGAGCAAAACCTTGGAATGAGTGAAATCCATAATTAAGACCATATGCTTCCCTGTTTTTCAGGCTTTTCAGGGACTGAATAGTGAATATACCACGCAGACAATCTTAGGAGCTGATTTGCACTGGTCAATAATATAAAGCAGTTCTACTTTATATATGAAGATATTTCTGTTAAAAGTGGAAAATAAAAAAATCAGGATGATTTCTTAACCTTGACTTCTAGCTAATGCCTTTTTAAATTTACACACACATACACACACACACACACACACACACACACACACACACGATTAAGCCGGTCTCTCAGAGGTGCAAGCAGATTCTGAAATGAGAAGGTGCTGTGGATACCTCAGAAGTATTATCCAAGTCCATGCCACTTTGAACCAAGGGCTCTGCCACCTCCCTTTAAGACAAGTCCCACTAAAATGTTTTCCTCTGGTTCACTTTAGGTAGGGAATGGCAATCAACCCATCACAACTCCTACAATCTCAGGCAAGTAGTTGATCTACTTTGTCCACATATGTTGTCACCTCCCCTCTGCAGCAAATCGTTTTCTAGCCAGAAACTGAGAAGAAATAGATAAGAAGAACAGGTCACAGGCTTTGGAGTCAGACAGTCTCAATTTGGGGTCTTAACTTTATGATCTACAGGAATTATTTCCCTCTGAACCTCAGTTGCCTGGTGAAAAAAATGGAAATACTAATTCCTGCCTGCAAAGATTGCTGTTAACACCAAATGGCACAAACATAATAGTTAAGTTTTGTGCTTCTCTGACAATTCCATCGACACGGAGGAGCAAAGAAAATCAAAGTAGCAATGTCTATACTGTGTGACATTCTCCCACATCCATTACTGAATAGAAAGCAAACGATCCAAACAAATCTTTCCACAATCTTGGCCTAGAACTAAGAAACACCCAGCAATCCAAGTGGGCAACTTGATGAGCTGGAAATGTGGGTGGTAGTATTTAGCCATATGATTGCCAAAGCGAGAAATGCTGCCTGAAGAGGAAGAGAAAGAGGGAAAGACTGAAGAAGAATGTATTAGTCCATTTTTGCACTGCTATAAAGAATTGCCCAAGACTGGATAATTTACAAAGGAAAGAAGTTTAATTGACTCATAGTGCCGCATGGCTGAGGAGGTTTACAATCATGGCGGAAGGGGAAGCAGGCACATCTCACAGGGCAGCAGGTGGGAGCGAGAGGGAGCAAGAGCGGGAGAGAGAGAAGAGAGCGAGAGAGAGAAGAGAGCGTGAGAGAGCGAGAGAGCGAGTATGTGAAGGAGGAACTGTCAAACACTTATAAAACCATCAGATCTCATGAGAACTCACTATCACGAGAACAGCATGGGGGATACTACCCCCATGATCCAATCGCCTCCCTCCCCCAACACGTGGGGACTACAGGTCCCCCCCTCCCCGCCTTGACACATGGGCGTTACAATTCAAGATGAGAATTGGGTGGAGACACAGCCAAACAAAATCAAAGAAAGAAGGAGATAACTCCTTACCAGGGTTCCTGACAGCTGGCCAGTACCTAGGCCCTGTTCATGACATTTACCTAACTTCTTGGGTGTGTATCCGTGAGTTAATTCAGTGGACTTACACTGAATTTCTTTGATGCATGAAATGGTTGGAAATGGATTTTTTCACTTGGTAATCATAAGAGATTTAACTAAAATCATACCTTAATGCCCATAGGCCAGCAACTAACACAGTAATATACTCTTTTGGTAGCCACTTTATATGCTTCAAGTATGAAGTCTTTGGACACCTTTAAGGAGATTCTTAGGAAGCCCTAAAAAAAGAACTGAAACCTCCATTTTACTGTATCTAATAATCTGATTTTAAAATGGGTATTTTTAAAGCCTCATTTTTACTGGTATAAGGTGGGTCTCCCAAAGCAATGGATAGAGATATTTTTTTCAAGTGATAAATAAATACAATAAAATCAGGCCAGGCATGGTGGCTCATGCATGTAATCCCAGAACTTTGGGAGGCCAAGGTAGGCAGATCACTTGAGCCCAGAAGTTCAAGACCAGTCTCAGCAACATGGTGAAATCCCATTTCTACAAAAAAAGAAAAAAAAAAAATCCCACGCACACACAAAAATTAATGGGGCATGGTGGTGCAAGCCTGTAGTCTCAGCTACTCAGGAGGCTGAGGTGGGTGGATTGAATGAGCCTGGAGGTTGAGGCTGCAGTGAGCCATGATGGCACCACTGCACTCCAGCCTGGATGACAGAGCAAGACTCTGTCTCTAAATAAATAAATAAATCTTATTCTTTTTAAAATTTTCATGGATACATAGTAGATATACATATTTACGGAGTACATGAGATGTTTTGATAAAAGCATGCAATACACAATAATCACATGAGGGTAAATGGAGTATCCATCACCTCAAGCACTTATCCTTTGTGTTAAAAACAATCCAATTATACTCTTTCCATAATGTTTAAATTTACAATTAAATTATTATTGACTATAGTCACCCTGTTGTACTACCAAATATTAGTTTTTACTTATTCTTTCTAATTATTTTTTGTACCCATTAACCATCCCCACTTCCTCCCAACCTCCCAATTACCCTTCCTCGCCTCTGGTAACCATCCTTCTACTCTCTATCTCCATGCGTTCAATTGTTTAAATTTTTAGCACCCACAGATAAGTGAAAACATGCTAAGTTTGTCTTTCCGTGCCTGGCTTATTTCACTGAACATAGTGATCCCCAGTTCCATCCATGTTGTTGCACATGACAAGATTTCATTGTTTTTATGGCTGAATAATATTCCATTGTGTGTATGTACCATATTATGTTTGTTGGTGAACACTTGAGTTGGTTCCAAATCTTGGATATTGTGAATAGTGCTGCAATAAACATGGGAGTGCAGATACCTCTTTGATATGCTGATTTCCTTTCTTTGTGGTATCTACCTGGAAGTGGGATTGCTGAATATTATGATAGCTCTATTTTTCATTTTTTGAGGAACCTCCAAACTGATCTCCACAGTGGTTGTACTAATTTACGTTCCCACCAACAGTGTACAAGGGTTCCCTTTTCTCCATATCCTCACCAGCATTTTTTATTGCCTGTCTTTTAGATAAAAGCCATTCTAACTGGAGTGAGATGACATCTTGTGGTAGTTTTGGATTTGCATTTCTCTGATGATCAGTAATGTTGAGCTCCTATTCATATAACCGTTGGCCATTTGTATGTCTTCTTTTGGAAAATATCTATTCATATCTTTCGCCCGTTTTAAATCAGATTATTAGATACATGTCTATACAGTTGTTTGAGCTCCTTATATATTCTAGTTATTAATCCCTTGTAAGATGGGTAGTTTGCAAATATTTTCTCCCATTCAGTGGGCCATCTCTTCCTTTTGTTGATTGTCTCCTTTGCTGTGCAGAAGCTTTTTAACTTGATGTGATACCACTTGTTTACTTTTGCTTTGGTCGCCTGTGCTTGTGAAGTAAATTCAAGAAATCTTTGCCCAGTCCAATGTCCTACAACTTTACTGAATTTGTTTATCAGTTCTAATAGTTTTATTGGTGGAGTCTTTGGGTTTTTCCAAATATAAAATCATGTCATCTGCAAACAAGGATAATTTGACTTCTTCCTTCCAGTTTGGATGCCCTTTGTTTCTTTCTCCTGTCTGATTTCTCTAGCTAGGATTTCCAGTATTGTGTTAAAAAACACAGTACTGATGAAAGTGAGTATCTTTGTTATGTTCCAGATTTTAGAGGAAATGCTTTCAGTTTTCCCCCATTCAGTATGATACTAGCTATGGGTCTATCATATATGGTTTTTATAATGTTGAGTTATATTCCTTCTATATGCAGTTTTTTGAGAATTGTTATCATGAAGGAATGTTGAATTTTATCAAATGCCTTTTCAGCATCAACTAAAATGATCATATGGTTTTTGTCCTTCATTCTGTTGACAAAATTTATCACATTAATTGATTAGCATATGTTGAACCATCCTTGCATCCCTGGGATGAATCCCACTTGGTCATGATGAATGATCTTTTTAATGTGTTATTGAATTTGTTTGCTAGTACTTTGTTGAGTATTTTTGCATCAATATTCTTTAGGGGTATTGGCCTGTAGTTTTCTTTTTCTGATGTTTCTTTGTTTTTTTGTATCAGAGTAATACTACCCTCATAGGATGAGTTTTGAAGTATTACCCCTCCTCTATTTTTTTGAATAGTTTTAGTATAATTGGTATTAATTCTTCTTTAAATGTGTGGCAGAATTCAGCAGTGATGCCATCAGATCCTTGGCTTTCCTTAGCTGGTAGACTTTTTAATACAGCTTCCATTTCATTACCTGTTATTGGTCAGTTCAGGATTTGGATTTCATCATGGCTCAATATCGGTAGGTTATATGTGTCTAGGAATTCATCTATTGCTTCTAGATTTTCCAATTTATTGGCATACAGTTGCTTATAGTAGCCACTAATGAATGATCCTTTGAATTTCTGTGGTATCAGTTGTAATGTCTCCTTTTTCATCTCTAATTTTGTTTTGGGTTTTCTCTCTTTTTTTCTTTGTTAGTCTGGCTAAAGGTTTGTCAATTTTGTTCACCTTTTTAAGAAACCAACTTTTCATTTTGTTGATTTTTGTACTGTTTTCTTCATTTCAAATTCATTTATTTCTGCTCTGATCTTTATTACTTATTTAAATCTACTAAGTTTTGGTTTGGTTTGCTCTTGCTTTTCCAGTTCTTTAAGAAATATTGATAAGCTATTTATTCAAAGTTTTTCTTCTTTTTTGATGTAGGTGCTTATAGCTATAAACTTCTGTCTTAGTATTGCCTTCATTGTATCCCATAGGTTTTGGTATGTTGTGTTTCCATTATCATTTGTTTCAAGAAATTTTTCAATTTCCTTTATAATTTCTTCATTGACCTACTGGTCATTCAGGTGCATATTGTTTAATTTCCATGTGTTTGTATAGTTTCAAAAATTCCTCCTGTTATTGACTTCTAGTTTTGTTCCACTGTGGTCAGAGAAGATGTTTGATATTATTTTAATTTTTTTAATGTTTTAAAATTTGTTTTGTGACCTAAAATATGGTGTGTCCTTGAGAATGCTTCATGCACTGAGATAAAGAATGTGTTTTCTGCAGCCATTGCATGAAATATTCTGTCATATTTATTAGGTCCATTTGGTCTATAGTGCAGATTAAGTCTGATTTTTTGTTGATTTTCTATCTGAAAGATATTTCCAATGCTAAAAGTGGGCTCTTGAAGTCTTCAGCTATTATTGTATTGGGACTTGTCTCTCTCTTTAGCTCTAATAATATTTTCTTTATATATCTTGATGCACCAGAATTGGGTGCATATATATTTACAATTGTTCTATCTTCCTTCCAAATTGACCCCTTTATCATTATACAATAACCTCTTTGTCTCTTTTCATAGTTGTTATCTTGAAATCTCTTTTGGTATGAGTATAGTGACTCCTATTCTTTTTTGGTTTCCATTGACATGGAGTATCTTTTTCCATCCCTTTACTTTCATTCTACGCATGTCTTTGTAGGTGAAGTGTGTTTCTTACATAAAAGCCATTCTAACTGGAGTGAGATGACATCTTGTGGTAGTTTTAGATTTGCATTTCTCTGATGATCAGTAATGTTGAGCTCCTTTTCATATAACCGCTGTCCATTGGTGTGTCTTCTTTTGGAAAATATCTATTCATATCTTTCACCCGTTTTAAAATCAGATTATTAGATACATGTCTATATAGTTGTTTGAGCTCCTTATATATTCTAATTATTAATCCCTTGTAAGATGGGTAGTTTGCAAATATTTTCTCCCATTCAGTGGGTCATCTCTTCCTTTTGTTGATTGTCTCCTTTGCTGTGCAGAAGCTTTTTAACTTGATGTGATACCACTTGTCTATTTTTGCTTTGGTCACCTGTGCTTGTGATCTTAGACCCAGATCACTGGGTCTTGTTTATTTATCCATTCAATCACTTTACTGTATTTTTATTGGAGAATTTAGTCCATTTGCATTCAATGTTATTATTGATAAGTATGGACTTACTCCTGCCATTTTGTTATTTGTTTTCTGATTATTCTGTGGTATTCTTTTCCTTCCCTTCTATCTTTCTTTTAGCAAAGGTGATTTTCTCTGGTGGTATAATTTAATTTCTTGCTTTTTACTTTTTGTGTATTTGTTGTATGTTTTCTGATGTGAAGTTACTATGAGGCTTGCAAATACTATCTTATAGCTCATTATTTGAAACTGAAGAAAACACCGAATAAACAAGCAAAGAGAAAACTAATAAAAACTGTACATGTTAACCTCATCCCCTCATTTTTGAACTTTTTGTTGTTTCTATTTATTTCTTAATATACTATGTCTTGAACAGTTGTACTTATATTTCTGATTGGTTCATTGTTTAGTCTTTCTATTTAAGATAAGGGTAGTTTACACACCACAGTTACAATGTTATAATATTCTGTGTTTTTATGGGTACATACTATTACCAGTGAGTTTTGCACTTTCAGATGCTTTCTTGTTGTTCATTAACATCCTTTTCTTTTTGATTGAAGTACTCACTTTAGAATTTATTGCAAGATAGGCCTGGTGTTAATGAAATCCCTCAACTTCTGTTTGTTTGGAAAGTATTTCTCCTTCAGGTTTGAAGGATATTTTTCACTAGCTTTTTCACTAGGTATACTGTTCTAGGGTAAGCTTTTTTTTCTTCAGCACTTTAAATATGTCATGCTACTCTCTTCTGGCCTGTAAGGTTTCCGGTGAAAAGTCTCCTGCCTGATGTATTGGAGCTCCATTGTATGTTATTTATTTATTTTCTCTTACTACTTTTAGGTTCCTTTCTTTACCTTTGACCTTTGGGAGTTTGATTATTAAATGATTTGAAATAGTCTTCTTTGGGTTAAATCTCCTGGTGTTCTATAACCTTCTTGTACTTCAATATTGATATATTTCTCTAGGTTTGGGAAGTTCTCTGTTATTATCAATTGAATAAACTTTCTACCCCTATATCTTTCTCTACTTCCTCTTTAAGGTTAATAACTCTTAGATTTGCCCTTTTGAGGCTGTTTCTAGATCTTGTAGGCATGCTTCATTCTTTTCTATTCTTTTTAATTTTTTTGTCTCCTCTGACTGTGTATTTTCAAATAGTTTATCTTCAATCTCACTAATCCTTTCTTCTGCTTTTTAATTCTACTATTAGGAGACTCTGATGCATTCTTCAGTATGTTCACTCCATTTTTCAAGTCCAGAGTTTCTGCTTGATTCTTTTTAATTATTTCAATCTCCTTGTTAAATTTACTTGATAGAATTCTGAATTCCTTCTCTGTTATCTTGAATTTCCTTGAGTTTCCTCAAAGCAGGTGTTTCGAATTCTCTGCCTGAAAGCTCACATATCTCTGTTTCTCCAGTATTGATCCCTTGTGCCTTATTTAGTTCATTTGGTGAGGTCATGTTTTCCTGGATGTTATTAATGCTTGTAGATGTTCCTCAGTGTCTGGACATTGAAAAGTTAGGAATTCATTGCAGTCTTCACAGTCTGGGCTTGTTTGTACCCATCTTTCTTGGGAAGGCTTTCCAGGTATTCAAAGAGTCTTAGGTGTTGTGATCTAACCTGTATCTGCATTAGAGGAACTCCAAGCCTAGTAATGCTGTGGTTTCTGCAGACTTATATAGGTACCATCTTGGTGGTCTTGGATAAGATACAAGAGAATTCTTTGGTTTACCAGGCAGAGACTCTTGTTCTCTTCCCTTAATTTCTTGCAAACAAGCAGAGTCTCTCTGCACTGAGCCACCTGGAGCTGGGACTAGGAGGACACAAGCACTCCTGTGTCCACCAGCACTGGGAATGCACTGAGTCAGACCTGAAGCCAGCATAGCACCGGGTCTCACCCAAGGCCCAGTGTAACCGCTACCTGGCTACCACCTATGTTCGCTTAAAGCCCTTGGGCTCTATAATCGGTAGGTGGCTGAGCCAGCCAGGCTGTGTTCTTCCCTTCAGAATGTCAAGATTCCCCAAGCCCTGGACAGGTCCAAAGATGCCATCCAGGAGCCAGAGACTGGAGTCAAAAACCCCAGGAATCTACCTGGTACTCTATTCTATTGCAGTGAAGCTGGCACTCAAGCCATGAGACAAGGTCCTTCCCACTCTTCCCTCCCTTTTTCATAGGCAGAGGGGCCCCCCACCATGGCCATCACCACCACCACAGACCCACAGCGGGTACTGCCAGGCTACTGCTGATGTTCCCTTAATGCCCAAGGGCTCTTTAGTCAGCTTATGGTGAATGCTGCCAGGCCTGGGACTCATCCTTCAGCGTAGTGGGCATTCTCTGGGCCCAGGGAAGGTCCAGAAATGCTGTCCAATAGCCAAGGCCTGGAATCAGGGACCCCAAGAGCCCATTTGGTGCCCTACTGCATTGTGGCTGAGCTGGTACCTGGAGCCAGCACATCTCAGAGTGCCAACCAAGGCCCATAGCATATTACCTTGTGATTGGTGATGGCTTTTCAGGGCCCAAGGGCTCTTTAGTCAGCAGGTGATGAACACTGCCAGGACTGGAGCCCTCCTTTCAAGGCAGCAGGTTCTGTTTTCGCCCAGGGTGTTCTAGATATGTTACCTCAGAGCTAGGAACCGGGATGGGGTCCTCAAAACTCTTCCCAGTGCCCTATCCTGCTGTGGCTGATCTTGTATCCAAGAAGCAAGACAAAATCCTCTTTCCTCTTCCCTCTCCTCTCCTTAAACAGAAGGAGGTTGAGGGAAGGTGACATAAGCACTTCCTTGGCCACCCCAGTTGTTGTCCACATCCACTGTCTTTGAGCCCAGCACAGTACTAGGACTTGCCTAGGAATTGCCGTGCTTGTAGCCATACCACCTTTCAAGTTTATTTAGGACCCCAGAGCATGTTAGCCCACCCTGGCAAAGCTTGCTGGAACTCAAGTTCTGACCACTAGGATGTGCAACTTCCCTCCGGCTAGGGCTGGTCAAAGTGCTCCCTCTGTGGGTGGGTGTGGGTTGAGTTTAGTGCAGTTTTGTTTTCCACTGTGACAGGGCAGCACTGGATTCAATGCAGGGTCCCACAATCGCTGTGCCCTCCCCGCCTCAAGCACACAGATTCACCATGACATGCAGCCACTGCCAGGGGATGTGAGAGGAATGGCACTGGTGATCAAAGACTGCTTTTCCCACCCACTTCACTGCCTCTTTCAGTGATATGAAGTTAAAATTGGGTACTGTGATTGCTTACCTGGTTTTTTGGTTCTTATGAAGGTGTGTTTTTTTGTGCTGGTAGTTATTCAATTAGTGTTCATGTTGCGAGGGACTACCGATGATGGCTTCTATTCAGGCATCTTCCTATTCTGTTTCTCGGGACAACCCTAAGTAATACAAATGTACACTTTTCCCAACTTAATTTTACAAATTTATTTTAAGCTTATATAATGGACAAAGTGAGTGTATAAAAAGATGATCAAGACTCTGCCCTCAAAAAGTCATAGTGTCTGTAATAGAAGAGATAAGACAAATATACAAATATAATAATTTGAACTGAGTTCTGAGACAGGAATTGAAGAGGAAAAAACATGAGAAGCAAAGCTGAAGTCAGAATACCCTGTTCCCTCTATTGGAAATGCTCTCTTCCATTCTGCTTCTCATCCTAACGTCTCATACTTTCCGACTTGGCTCACATGTCTCCTCCTCCAAAAAATATTTCATGGTTAATTTGCCCTGCCCAAGTCCAGTTGAGGTGCTCAGCCCTGTGCTTCTCCCCATCACAGCATTTATCTATCATATTACCATGACTATTTATTTATCTGAGTCCTCCATTAGACCAACACTTCTTGACTTATTAATATGGATCAAACACTTCTCAAATGCATCGCAAATTTGTTGCTAATCGTCATTGAAATACCAATCTTTTCTCTTTTTTATTGCCTTTTAGAGAATACTCAAGGTATATCTGATGTCATCACTAGTCACTTGCATTAAGCTATATTTACTCAGCTGGGAGAGATAAGGTGCTTATGTGAGAATTTAGGCCTTTGCTCTAAACTTGTAATTCCCCATTTGCACTTGCACAATAGTCCTGATGTTTCTAAACTTGTTGTGCCACATAATCTGTTTGGCTTCAGTGATGCTGTGGCATCTGTATCATTACAGGCAAGACACTTATAGTGGGCTAGAAAATACATGCACTCATCCTAGAATTTGGAGAGTTTTATCCAAAATAGTTAAAAACCTGTAGGGTATGAGCAGTGACCAGACAGGACACAGGCTCTGATAGTGCTGGAGAATAATCCTGAACCCCCTCCTCCCATCTCCACACCCCTGCCAAGTGATAACCTTTATTCATTAGAATGTGCAGATGTCTGGAAGATCTCAGCAGAGAAACCAGGCTAGCCAGGGATATAGGGTGTATTTAATGGTTCAGAGAAGTTATTGTTTGCCAGCTGGTAAAGAAGTATTTCAAGACATTTAACAACTGGACAGACTGTACTGTTGTGTACCCAGCAAATATCAGCATTGCCAGCTGGAAAGAGAACTGGAGCAATTAATATTGAAAAATGGAAACAGATTTCAGGCGTGCTGAGACCCTGGAGAGGATTTCTAGATAGTATTCCATGACAAGATGTAGCCCATAAGATATTTCTAGATGATCCAAAAGAATATGTTTCTATTGCTAAGTAAGATTGAGAAATACTGTAACATGCACATTACACTCCTCTTATGTTCCACATTAGTAAATTATAATTATATATCAGCGAATAACTATAATTATACATTAGTGAATGATAAGACTTAGAGTGAAGAAAACTCTCCAACTTTGCTTAGCCCAAGCATATAATACATTTATTTCCCCTAGGTAGTCACTTTTTCATGAAATTATCAATCTTTTGTATGGCACTAATGTTCTTTGCAATGACGTTTAGGAAATTTCACCAAAATTATCGTCTCCACATTTAGATACAGTTGAACCTTAAAAACCTCTGGGATTAGGGACACTGACCACATGCACAATAAAAAAATCTGTGTATATCGCTTGAACCTGGGAGGCAGAGGCTGCAGTGAGCCGAGATCGCACCACTGCACTCCAGCCTGGGTGACAGACCGAGACTCCATCTAAAAGAAAAAAAAACTGTGTATACCTTTTGGCTCTCCAAAAACTTAACTACTAATAGCCTACTGCTGACAAAAAGCCTTACCATAACATACACAACCAATTTACATATATTTTGCATGTTATATTTTATAACACCATACTATGCATTGTATTCTTAAAGTAGGTTAGGGAAAAGAAAGTGTTACTTAAAAAGTCATAAAGAAGAGAAAATAGCTTTACAGTACTGTATGGTGTCTATTGTTATGGAAAGTTTAAGTCGTGTCTGAAAGTTTAATCACGTCTGAAATGGCAGGCAACCGCAGCTGCAGTCCTCAATCTACAGTACATATCAAGCAATTCAACTTTTTCTTGTAATGCTATGACTTTTCTCTGCTTCCTGGGAGCACTTCCAGCATCACTAGAGGCACTTCATATGGGTCTCATAGTGTTATTCAATGTTTATGGTATTGCACTAAACCCAGTGAAAAATAGGCAAGAACCTTGAAAAATCATTTTTTACTGTGATATGCAATTTACTGAAGAGATGAACTGCTCACTCAGAGATAATTAGAATCACATGATGTTGTAAGCAGATACTTGTAACACTTGAGCTCACTGCAATAGCAACAGGAGGTGGCTAGGAAATTATTACAGTGGTACAGTGTGTACTACAGTAACTTTTATGCAGTTATGATTTCCTAGTGCATTTTAACTTTTGTTTGCATTTCTCGCAACTGAAAATGGTGCCATGTATGGTTCATGTTTGTGTGCACACATTTTGATACATTTTAACTTTTTATAATAGATTCATGTATATTTTATGGTAGTAAATCATAAAGAGACTAGTATCTATATATATATTTCATGCATTTATAACATACCTTTTTCTTAGTGTTTTCAATATTTCTACATTACGTGGTTTGCAAGTTTTTTCAAATTCTCACAAATCTCCAAAAATTTTCTCAGTATATTTCTTGAAAAAAATTCACATACAGGTGGACCTGTGTAGTTCAAACCTGTGTCGTTCAAGGGTCAGCTGTACATCCAGGTTTGTGAGTTCTGACAGACAGCTCACCACTGATGTGTGCAAAAGCCAAATTTGCCCTGTTGCCATCATTTCCAGGAGCTTTGTTTCATGCTTCATTCCACAGGCTCAGGGGTCTTGGGCACTTACTTGCTTGATAGCAAAACCCAGGAAAGTCCTTAAACACTAACCTCTAGTGATCAGGGGTTGGCACTTTGTATAGTGGCACAGAAAGTAAATATCTTTGGTTTTGTGAACTGCATTAGCTCTGCCATGATTTCTCAACTCTGCTCTTATAGTGTTATAGTGTGAAACCAGCTATAGGCACTATTTTACTAAGTGAGCATGGCTGTCTTCCAATAAAACTTTATTTAGAAAAATAGGCAAAGAATAGGATTTGTCCTGTGGGCTGTAGTTCACCAAGCCCTCCCTGATCTAAGCTAAAAAATCAGCAGCCTATTCCCTTTTTTCTTTTTTTCTTTTTTCTTTTTTTGTTTTTGAGTCACTCACTCTGTTGCCCAGGCTGGAGTGCAGTGATCTCGCCTCACTGCAACCTCGGCCTCCCGGGTTCAAGCAATTCTCCTACCTCAGCCTCCCAAGTAGTTGGGATTACAGGTGCCACACTTAGCTAATTTTTTTATGTGTGTATTTTTAGTAGAGACGGGGTTTCACCATGTTGGCCAGGCTGGTCTCGAACTCCTGACCTCAAGTGATCTGCCCACCTCAGCTTCCCAAAGTGCTAGCATTACAGGCATGAGCCACCGTGCCAGGCCCCTCAGTCTCCTTTCTTTTAGCCTCAGAATGATCTTTGCTCTCCTTATTTGTGTCCTGTGAAAGAAACTTGACCTCAGAGGTAAATTAACTGAGACTGATAAATTAACAGTGATACATTAACCAAACAGGGCTTTGTCACTGTTGAATCTATTTTAACAAATGGAGGTGGGGTCTAGAGGGCAAGAAAATGTCAAATGGCCATATAAAGCATGCACCAGAGAGTACAAGTAGGAAAGACCTTTCACTGAGCTCCCTGAGATATTTAAAATTAGCCTCACTTCAGCTATTTCCATGAAACATTTGAGGACTAAAAGCCTAATGACAATTCTTTGGCTGAGAATCAAGTAGCTGTCACTTCAATGATTCTGCTGTTTGCTACTATTTTTGTTTGATAAGCAGAACCTTATACTTGGGCCTAGATTTGAGGCAAGATCATCAATGATTCATAGTTTGGAGACGGGAAGGCCGCCATCTCCAGGTTGGCCTGTGTTCGGGGTTCTTTGGCAGGAGTATTGTAGATGTTTTCAATTAGGTGAAAAACAAAACCTCTAGAGAGTACGGCTTTAACCCAAATAAAATCACCCCTTGAATATAATTTCTCTCTTCCTCCCTTTCTCTTTCTTTCTGTGTATGCATGTGGGGGAGTGTGTATGGGTGCATAAAATGGTTGAGACAGCTGCATTACACAGGTGGTATCCTAGGCAGTAAATAATACAACTTTTATAGATGGCTTGAGACACACAGTCTCAAAACAATTAATTTTACCACTACGCATTTGACCTAAGAGCACTTTTTATCACAGCAGGAATTCCTTATCAAATTCTCAGGTGCAGGTGCCCCATAAACACTTTGGAGGCATATGGACCTTGTGGCTGAGCTGGCTATTAACTACACAAAACAGTAAGAGGTGGCCTGGGAAGAAAGAAAAATATAAAACACCAACCCCAGCTCAAAAAAGTAAACCGGAATGTTCAACTTTGCCCTTCTTGTGAAGTTTGTGTATTTCTCACCCACCATAGTGCCATGAAACCTTGGGAATTTAGAAGTCAGCCAGCATGTGGAAGGTTTTGCTTCATTGTCATAAAGCATGCATATTCATATAGTTACAAATAACTTATTTAAATTTAGAAAAAAATGGCAAAAAATACCAAATGGAGGACAAGGAAGTCATCCTGTTTGTAAATCGAGGCTATGGAATGCTTGCTAAAAACTAATCAATGAGAATATTTCATAGAAAAATACTCATATGACTGGAAATATACATGTGTATATATATATTTAAATTTATCCTTAGAGGATATATTTAGAGAAAGATAGCCATCTGTCTCTGATACTATCAGTGTTATTTATTTATAAACTATCTTCAGAAAATTCCTAGTCCAATTTTCTGCACTTGATTAGCTAAGCAAAGATTTGCTCAACCAAGATATACAACCTGCAAATTAGAAATTCTTCCAGAATTTATATTTCAGGTACCAAATCTGGGTTTTGTTTCCTTCTGTGTTTTTTTCCTTTAAATAGCTGTAGGGGCATGAGATTTTTGTTTAAAAAACAAAAAACAAGGGGGTAGGGGAAACTATTACAATTATTTTTGAGACCCATCGAAAAATCTTGACACTGTTCCAAGTTCAACAAACATTTTATAGGCTACCATCACCAAATGAGAGTTCCATAAACACATCCATATAGTTAAAGCAAAAGTTCAGAAGAGCATTCATTTACTGTCCATCCATGAGCCTCTCCTGAGACAGAGGTCCTTACGGACTGGGAAAGAGGAGGAGAGTAAGTAAGATGGGGAAAAGTATTAAGTAAGAAAAACCTGACAATTACTTTTCTGAATCTGAGCCCATATGTGAGTTTCCTGTAGAATTATACATTTATAGATTGAAAAATTCCTTTTTTGCTTAAAAATGATAAAGAGATTATATTATATTTCTCTACATCTCCTACTTAAGATTTCCATTTCATTACATCTTTTATATCCACCATATCATTATAAACAAAATTGTTTCAGCTTCTTCCTGAGCAAAGCATCCTGATTTTTCATGGCTGAGTTCTTGATCTCTGGGGAGAAATTAGGTAATTAACATGAGACACATAACATCAATACATAACTAATTAGAAGGGAAAAAAATTCTCAAAGGAAGCCTTTAACCTGTGTCTCTTTCTAGGAAAAGTTTGTTCTTTCTTTAAAGTCTAAAATGCCTATTTAAATTACTATTTCATTATTTTTCTCAAAAGTGTGAAATGTTTAGAACCACATAAGGCTCCCAATGATTCTTTTTCAGAGAGCACATCATGACAGATTTTCTGTTTTAAAAAATAACCAATAATAAAATTAAAATGACAAAATGTTTTCTTTGCATGTAATTTTAATTGGGCATCTTCCTTTTTTCCACTAATAATATGTGGAAAATAATAATTTTTCCACAAATAATAATATGTGTGTGTTTATACACATATTCAAGAAGACCACAAATATGAGAATCTTCTAATTTATTAAATCAAAAGCCAAAAACGTGTATGTCTTCCATGTGTGTAGAGGTAGCTAAACACCCAAGATACACAGATTTACAGCTTGATTCTACCGATATTTGTTGGAGAAATAAACCACTCTTGATTGAACTATAAAGTCATAAAATCACCCAATAAATTTTTAATTAAAAATAATAAAGAAGAGTGGGACTACAATTCTGTTCCATTATACTTGAAAAACTGGGAAATAGGAGTAGATTAAGGATCCATCCTTAATCAGCAGGCACATCCTTTTAACATTGCTACCCTCCACAGACCTGAGGAAGCCACAGGGTCTTTTCTCCTCTCATCTGCCCTCTACTATCTTTATTTGCTCAAAGAATTTGCCCAGGTTTTCCTTTGTTTCTGCTCTCAACTTCTCAACTTCACATTCAGTAACCAGAGGTTCGTAGCTTGAAATCAGTAATAGTGGAGATATTTACACCATGGAAATTGGCAAGTGCTACACATCAGGGCTTTTTCCTTCCTGGAGTCCAGCCCATTGTTAATCACATACCAACATACCACTGCCTTGGACATATCTCTCTACTCTTTCTTCTTTTCCCTTCTGTATCAAATACTGTCCTCCCATAACGACACACTTAAAATGTTGTGATAAACTAATTTACTAAGTTATTAGTGGGGAAAGAGGTGTTTAATGTACTACCTCTATCAGGCATGTATTGAACAGTATCTAATGATAATAACCCAAAGTAAAAAAAATTTCTATCAATTAAAGTCTGGGCATTGATGAAAAATAGTGTGTTTTTCCAGGACAAGCTTCTCAGCACCCTTCATGTCATACCATAAAGGCAGCTAATGACTCTGCTTAAAATCAATGTTCACAACGGATATTAAAAGCAGGATTGGAAAAAACAACTAGCTGACTAGAGTCCTCACTGTTGATTGGAATGCATAGATAACTTTGTCATGGGAGAAGGAAGAAGCTGATTTTCAAATGACTAAGTATCTAGTTATCACAGGGAGAAAGGTGAGAAAAAGTAAGGATTTGTTGTCATTGTTGCCTATTTATGATCAATAGTGGTTTCTTTCTTTCAAAAATACATTTATTGTAACACTAGATGATTGTTACCATATTTCATCAAATCTAAGATACTACTGATTACATTGTATACTACAAAGAAAGGAGACAAAATTGTTACCAATTAAACTATCAATCAAAGTTTTCTTCTCACTTAGAATTATTCACATTTTTTGAAAGTCCTTCTAGATTTATTTGACAGATTTGCTCATATATTACTCTTGTGCATATCTATGTATGGTAAGTGAGAGTGATGCTGCATTTCTTAAAGGAGAAAAACCCTAGCCCAAGCAATTTCCTCCAACCTGCTGCCACTCTGGCTGCAGGTGATGCTGCACCTGCTCAGGCTGTCTGAGTGCCTGCCTCGGCTGAGCATGTCCCAGTTTCAGAGATGCATTTGGCAGAGGTGGGCAGAAGCTATGGCGCACATCTTAAAATCAATGAAATATCATAATTGGTCTCTCTGGTTTAGACTTGAGCACTGGGGTCCAGGCCTAGAGTGGATGATCCCTCAGTAGGGTTTTTGGCCTGTCTTTAGATTCAACTAAAGCTGACTGTACACTAGAATCACTTGGGGAGTTTTTTAAAAATCACCCCCACCCCAATTAAAATAGAATTTCTGAATTTAACAAAAACTTTCCAGGTGATTATAATAGACAGTTATATTTTAGAAGTACTGAACTACATCTTCCAAAAATCCATCTTTACATTTTCTCCTTCCAAACTTTATAACACAGTGTACAAAAAAGGTAATGTTCTTGCCGTTATCTAAATTATCTAAAGTTAACCTGTCAAGAACTTGTTAGCACAGAAATAAATTACAGTTGCTTTTTTAACAGTTTTTTCCTTAGGTTAAAAATCCCATGCTATAGTTCATATAGTTTTGGTTCTTACTGATTGTTTTTTCCTTCATTATTGCAGATCTACTTCTGCAAGTTTCTGAAACAAATTAATAAGTCATTATCATTTAAGCGCTATTCACTTCAAGTTTATTTTAAATATTTGAAAAATATGTAAATGTTACCTATTGATGGAAATTTGTAATTTTTCTATGAAGATAACCTTGGATTTAAAAGCTAATGGAATATAAATATTTTACAAATGTTCCACCCTGAGACCAAATCTCATCCTAGTGTACAAACAATAGACACAGTTAATCAGAGACAGCGGATTTAGTCAGAATTTCTTTTTCCCCAGCAGGGACATATTCTTATTAGCCCCATAAAGAATATGGTGTCTAACAGACTGGCAAATTGGATAAAGAGTGAAGACCCATCAGTGTGCTGTATTCAGGAGACCCATCTCAAGTGCAGAGACACACATAGGCTCAAAATAAAGGGATGGACGAAGATCTACCAAGCAAATGGAAAGCAAAAAAAAGCAGGGGTTGTAATCCTAGTCTCTGATAAAACAGACTTTAAACCAAGAAAGATCAAAAGAGACAAAGAAGACCATTACATAATGGGAAAGGGATCAATTCAACAAGAAGAGCTAACTATCCTAAATATGTATGCACCCAATACAGGAGCACCAGATTCATAAAGCAAGTCCTGAGAGACCTAAAAAGAGACATAGACTCCCATACTATAATAATGGGAGATTTTAACACCCCACTGTCAATATTAGACAGATCAATGAGACAGAAGGTTATCAAGGATATCCAGGACTTGAACTCAGCTCTGCACCAAGTGGATCTAATAGACATCTACAGAACTCTCCACCCCAAATCAACAGAATATACATTCTTCTCAGCACCACATCACACTTATTCCAAAATTGACCACATAGTTGGAAGCAAAGCACTCCTCAGCAAATGTAAAACAACAGAAATCACAACACACTGTCTCTCAGACCATGGTGCAATCAAATTAGAACTCAGGATTAGAAACTCACTCAAAACTGCACAACTACATGGAAATTGAACAACCTGCTCCTGAATGACTACTGGGTAAATAACGAAATGAAGGCAGAAATAAAGATGTTCTTTGAAAGCAATGAGAACAAAGACACAAGGTACCAGAATCTCTGGGACACATTTAAAGCAGTGTTTAGAGGGAAATTTATAGCACTAAATGCCCACAAGAGAAAGCAGGAAAGATCTAAAATCGACACCCTAACATCACAATTAAAAGAACTAGAGAAGCAAGAGCAAACACATTCAAAAGCTAGCGGAAGGCAAGAAATAACTAAGGTCAGAGCAGAACTGAAGGAGATAGAGACATAAAAAAACCCTTCAAAAAATCAGTGAATCCAGGAGCTGGTTTTTTGAAAAGATCAATGAAATTGATAGACTGGTAGCAAGACTAATAAAGAATAAAAGAGAGAAGAATCAAATAGATGCAATAAAAATGATAAAGGGGATATCACCACCAATCCCACAGAAATACAAACTACCATCGGAGAATACTATAAACACCTCTACACAAATAAACTAGAAAATCTAGAAGAAATGGATAAATTCCTGGACATATACACCCTCCCAAGGCTAAACCAGAAAGAAGTTGAATCCCTGAATAGACCAATCACATGCTCCGAAACTGAGGCAATAATTAATAGCCTACCAACCAAAAAAAGTCCAGGACCAGATTCACAGCCGAATTCTACCAGAGGTACAAAGAGGAGCTGGTACCATACCATCTGAAACTATTCCAATGAATAGAAAAAGACGGAATCCTCCGTAACTCATTTTATGAGGCTAGCATCATCCTGATACCAAAGCCTGGCAGAGACACAACAAAAAAAGAATTTTAAACCAATATCCCTGATGAACATTGATGTGAAAATCCTCAATAAAATATTGGCAAACCAAATACAGCAGCACATCAAAAAGCTTATCCACCATGATCAAGTCGGCTTCATCCCTGGGATGCAAGACTGGTTCAAGATACACAAATCAATAATCATAATCCATCACATAGACAGAACCAATGACAAAAACCACTTGATTATCTCAATAGATGCAGAAAAGGCCTTTGACAAAATTCAACAGCCCTTCATGCTAAAAACTCTCAATTAACTAGGTATTGATGGAACATATCTCAAAATGATAAGAGCTATTCATAACAAACTCACAGCTAATATCATACCAAATGGGCAAAAACTGGAAGCATTCCCTTTGAAAACTGACACAAGACAGAGATGCCCTCTCTCACCACTCCTATTCAACACAGTGTTGGAAGCTCTGGCCAGCACAATCAGGCAAGAGAAAGAAATAAAGTGTATTCAATTAGGAAAAGAGGAAGTCAAATTGTCCCTGTTTGCAGATGACATGACTGTATACCTAGAAAACCCCATCATCTCAGCCCAAAATCTCCTTAAGCTGATAAGCAACTTCAGCAAAGTCTCAGGATAAAAAATCAATGTGCAAAAATCACAAGCATTCCTATACACCAATAACAGACAAACACAGAGCCAAATAATAAGTGAACTCTCATTTGCAATTGCTACAAAGAGAATAAAATACCTAGGAATACAACTTACAAGGGATGTGAAGGACCCTCTTCAAGGGGAACTACAAACCACTGCTCAACAAAATAAAAGAAGACACAAGCAAATGGAAGAACATTCCATGCTCATGGATAGGAAGAATCAATATCATGAAAATGGCCATACTGCCCAAGGTAATTTGTAGATTCAATGCCATCCCCATCAAGCTACCAATGACTTTCTTCACAGAATTGGAAAAAACTTCTTTAAAGTTCATATGGAACCAAAAAAGAGCCCACATTGCCAAGACAATCCTAAGCAAAAAGAACAAAGCTGGAGGCATCATGCTACCTGACTTCAAACTATACTACAAGGCTACAGTAACCAAAACAGCATGGTACTGGTACCAAAACAGAGAGATAGACCAATGGAACCGAACAGAGGCCTTAGAAATAACACCACACATCTACAACCATCTGATCTTTGACAAACCTGACAAAAACAAGAAATGGGGAGAGGATTCCCTATTTAATAAATGGTGCTAGGAAAACTGGCTAGCCATATGTAGAAAGCTGAAACTGGATCCCTTCCTCACGCCTTACACAAAAATTAATTCAAGATGGATTAAAGACTTAAATGTTAGACCTAAAACCATAAAAACCCTAGAAGAAAACCTAGGCAATACCATTCAGGACATGGGCATGTGCAAGGACTTCATGACTAAAACACCAAAAGCAATGGCAACGAAAGTCAAAATAGACAAATGGGATCTAATTAAACTAAAGAGCTTCTGCACAGCAAAAGAAACTACCATCAGAGTAAACAGGCAACCTACAGAATGGGAGAAAATTTTTGCAATCTACCCATCTGACAAAGGGCTAATATCCAGAATCTACAATGAACTCAAACAAATTTACAAGGAAAAATCAAACAACCCCATCAAAAAGTGGGCAAAGGGTATGAACAGACACTTCTCAAAAAAAGACATTTATGCAGCCAATAGACACATGAAAAAATGCTCATCATCACTGGCCATCAGAGAAGCACAAATCAAAACCACAATGAGATACCATCTCACACCAGTTAGAATGGTGATCATTAAAAAGTCAGGAAACAACAGATGCTGGAGAGGTTGTGGAGAAGTAGGAATGCTTTTACACTGTTGGTGGGAGTGTAAACTAGTTCAACCATTGTGGAACACAGTGTGGCAATTCCTCAAGGATCTAGAACTAGAAATACCATTTGACGCAGCCATCTCATTACTGGGTATATACCCAAAGATTATAAATCATGCTACTATAAAGACACATGCACACGTATGTTTATTGCGGCACTATTCACAATAGCAAAGACTTGGAACCAACCCAAATGTCCATCAATGATGGACTGGATTAAGAAAATGTGACACATATACACCATGGAATACTATGCAGCCATAAAAAAGGACGAGTTCATGTCCTTTTTAGGGACATGGATGAAGCTGGAAACCATCATTGTGAGCAGATTATCACAAGGACAGAAAACCAAACACATGTTCTCACTCTTAGGTGGGAATTGAACAATGAGAATACTTGGACACAGGGCAGGGAACATCACACACAGGGGCCTGTTGTGGGGTGGGGTGCAGGGGAAGGGATAGCATTAGGAGAAATACCTAATGTAAATGATGAGTTAATGGGTACAGCAAACCAATATGGCACATGTATACCTATGTAACAAACCTGCAAGTTGTACACATGTACCCTAGAGCTTAAAGTTTAATAAAAATAAAAAAAAAGACTACAGTGTCTAAATTAGCCCCTATAAAGACCATGAACCACAGTTTCCCCAAAACTTGATTTTCCCCTTCATTTCCCCCTCTCCTTTCTAACAAAATCCTAATTGCTGTTCACATATCCACTCCATTTCTAGCCCTAGAAGGAGATGAACCTGATTATTCCCAGCCAATTAATGTATGTGGTTCTCCTGGCTGCAATTAGTATTCTAGAGATGGAGGTGGGGGCCTAATTAGACTAAAGGAAAAAACACTCATATGCCAGCTGGTTTTCGTTTGTTTGTTTGTTGTTGTTGTTGAGACAAGGTGTTGCTCTGTCGCCCAGGCTAGAGTGCGGTGGTGCTATCATGGCTCACTGCAGCCTCAATCTCCTGGGCTCAAGCAATCCTCCTACCTCAGCCTCTGAGTAGCTGGGAGACTACAGGAGCACGTCACCATGCCCGACCAATTTTGGTTTTGTTTGTTTGTCTGTCTTGTAGAGATGGGGTTTTGCCATGTTGCCCAGGCTGTTCTTGAGCTCCTGGGCTCAAGTGATCCATCTGCCTCGGTGTCCCAAAGTGCTGGAATTTCAAGTGCGAGCCACTGCACCTGGATAATATGCCATCTTTGAAAGTATGGTTTCTCTTCCCTCTCTCCCGCTGGGTGTGGCAAGAATGCATGTAGCCCTTTGGCCACCATCTGAGATCAGGAGGGGAACTAACATAAAGAAGTGAAATCAACACTAAGCAGACAGAAAAAAGAGACAGAATGAACATGGGACCTTGAGAGCACCGTTGGCTTCAGGTTAAGACAGTTAATAAATTCCTGTTCAAGCTAGTTTGAGTCCAATTTGCTGTCACTTACAGCTAAAAGTATCAGATTACACCTCCTTCTCTGTGCATCTTTCAAGTATCTGAGTTCTAGCTTTGTTGGAATGCTCGTGGGAACAGGGTAGGGATAGAATAAAACTTTTGCTGATACCTGCCTACTTGGTATTTGGGAAGCAGAATGGCTTAATGGGAGGGCAAGAAGATCGGGTAAGGAGCAGAGACAGGATCTACAGAAAGAAGGCTTGGTGGGCCCTGTTTCCTCCACTTACTGACTGTGTGATCTTAGGCAAGTCAGTTTAGCAGTTAGAGCCCTTGGTTCCTCATTTGGAGGATAAGTTTGTCATAACATGTATACACTAAACCAGGAATTAACAAATATTTTTTGTAATGGACCAGATAAATATTTTAGGCTTGGCAGACTATACCATCTCTGTAGCAACTACTCATCGCTGCCATTATCGTAGATGACATGAGTGTGGCTGTGTTCCCCTAACACCTTATTTACAAAAACAGGCAGCAGGCCAGACTTGGCATGTGAGCTGTAGTTTGTGTGACCTGTCTTAAAGCACCATGTAGGTAGAACAACCAGATATCACATACCTCCTGATGTGATGCAATAGGAATTGTACAGCACCACCTATAAAGTATTTGTGCACCCACCCACCCTCCAAGAAGGCTGAACTTAATGTAATTAAAACTAAGATCCAGTTTATAGGAGATAGAAAACACATACATCACATGACGCAATGAGAAAATACACAAATCCAGAATGTGGGACGTTCAAGGTGGTCTAGGAACTGCTCTAGATTTAAAGTGAGCTTTTGATTTTTCAAGAGATTCTCACTTTGTCACTCATGCTGGAGTGCAGTGGCATGATCATAGCTCACTGCAGCCTTGATTCTGGGCTCAGGTGATTCTCCTATCTCACCGTCCCTAGTAGTTGGGAGTATAGACTCACCACCACACCCAGCTAATTTTTCTTTGTTTTCTTTAATAGGTATGGGGTCTCCCTATGTTGCCCAGGCTGGTCTTGATCTCCTGGCCTCAAGCAATCCACTGGCTTCAGCCTCCCTTCAGAGCAGCTAGGATTACAGGTGTGAGCTATTGTATCCAGCTGAAGTGATCCAAATACATTCATATACAATGTGTGGACTTTGAACTCTAAGTCAATTAACTATAAAAAATTTTTTTTAGGTAATGAGAAAAATTTGAAAATGCTCTTGGTATTAGATTGATACCAAGCAATTATTAACTGCGTTAGGTGTGAGTCATTGCAATGACGAGAGAAAACATCTAAATTTTTTAGGCACATCCCTGAGTATGTATGAGCGAAATGACATCAGGTTTAATTTTTTTTAAACGCTTCACCAAAAAATAAATAAATAAATAAGACAATGAAGCATGTATGGCATAGTATTATTTTCCACATCTGAGAAAATCTATCTCTGCAGTTCCTTTCCTTGAGTCAACTTTTTTCTTAAGAGGGAGCTAAAGTTATTTTGACACACAGTTAAAATACAGTACAGTTGAAATGCAAATAACCACAGTTGATTGGAGAAATGAGAGTGAGGTTTTGATTGGATGATTTCTTGGAAACTGGCCTTACAATGTTACCTGTTTTTATTTTAAGGAGTTGTTTCTACTTTGTATCCATGTAGATATTCATAACTAAGCAGAAGATCACCCAAGTACAAATAATCCCATCAATGGCTTCATGATGGCCAAGTGGGCTATAGTAAAATAATTTGAGAAGTAATTTATTTTTTAGTTCATGGAATCCTATGTGTTTGACCTGGACACATTAGGCTTTTCCCAAATCTACTCAACACAAAACCAAAGTCAGAGACTCATGGAAACAGAAAGGCGTCAATGAGAGGATGGATATGTTAGTGAGGCCAAAAAATGTTCTCAGTAGAAATATATTAGCATGAATGTGCTGTTCTTCCCTTAACCCTCCTACTTTTCTTCTGTCCGGCGAGCTTTCTTCGTGTCTTAACTCGCATATGATTGGCCTGGCAAGATGAAACCTAAGGACATCTTATGATCAGGGGTTCCCCAAATGCAGAAGGCAAGAAGGAGACTAACATAGATCCCAGAAGAAAACAGGCATGAGGAAGATAGTGCAAATCTCTCACGTGCCCCTTTCATGGTAAGGATAGCAGCATCTGGTGGACATAGCAAACTTAAGTAAAAGAGATCAGGGAGTCCCCACCTTATAACTACCTTGGCTTATACATAAAGACAGACAGGAAAAACATGTCCTTATGAGTCTCAAACAAGTCAACCCACTTCTCTATACCAAATTGCCAGATTTTAGTAAAGAGAATGCATTAGTCTTGAGTATTCTAAATCTATACTATGGCCAAGTATTGAGTGACTAGGAATTCCAAGCCACTCCCCATCCATGAAACAATTTATGGAAACTTTAGGGAGCATTGAGATCTAGTTTCTCTTCCCTATAGTTCCCCTTACACGGGATAGTATTTAGAAGGTTAGATAGCTCTCACGTTCCTCAGTAAGAAGTCTGCTCCTCCTTGAAATATTTGCTATATGTTGTCATCCACATTTGACTTTGTATACAACTATCTCATTGTTAAAACTCTCCCAATCCAAGCAGCCACTCTCCTCACTCCAAAATACACTTGTATACCTTTGGTTCCAGCCTCTTACAGGCTGTAGTGCAAAACTGACCATTCTGGAGGAGTTGCCTTGTGAATCTTATTAAATTGTGAATTAATAGGTACATCTTCACTTAGGTTTCATACTAGTTCAGTAGACATTTATAAATGACATATGTTTATAAAATTTCAGGCATTGTAGAAGGTCTCACTACTCAAGTCACTCACAGAAAAAAGTCCTGATCACACAGTGCCATCATGGGAGAGGAAACCTGATACTGGAGCAGCAGAAGAGACAATGACTGATTCTACCTCCAAAGCACAGGAAGTGACGCTGGAGGAAGGCTTCATTCACAGATGCTAGCCAGAAAAGAAAAAAGGCATTTCCTATCAAAGAACATTACATTAGGTTGGTGCAAACGTAATTGTGGTTTTTGCCATTGAAAGTAATGGCAAAAACAGCAATTACGTTTGCACCAACCTAGTAAGTACATGGTAGGGTCATAATAGTACCCAAGACCTGTCTGTGGAACGTTAATCTCCAGTGGCAGAGGAGAAACAGACAAGGCAAGTAGATTAAACCAAAAATGTGAAAGACTCTTAATTCTCTATTAAGGAATTTGGACTTTAGGCAATGAGTAGTCTTCAAAGGTTTTAAAGCAAGAATGAGAGAAGCAGACGCCCATATTTCAAGGACCTGCCCTATATTTATTGTTAATTCCCATAACAATAAAACTCATTCATGCAGTGTTCTGGGAAGGTATCTTTTATTGTCCCACTTTTCCAATTTTGCATACTTTCGTCATTTCCCCTAGCTGGAATAACTTTCCCCACCTTCCTACTTTTCCAAAATCCACCCATCCATCAAAACCTGTGTCAGGTCCTCTTTATCCAAAGAGCCTGTGCAAACCTTCTCCATCTCACCGCAGAGGGACAGAGGAGACATCCAGGACTACAAGCTCTGGACTAGAGGTCAGCGGTTCTTTTACTCACTGGCTGTGGCTTGGAGGTATCCCCTAACCATCCTGGCTCTCTGGGCCAAAGTTTGTGAATTGATTGGGGTGCAGAAGGAGGCAGAGAAGCAGGAATACTTAGGTAATTCTCTAAGTTCACATCATGTGCTACCAATCTTTCCTTCCTCTAAATTCATAGAACATGTTGTCTTCTTCAGTCATTTTTCTCTTAACCTTGGGTGCTATGGTTTGCATATTCATCATTTTCAGCACAAAGAAGACAATAACTGTCACTGACTGGGTGACTGACCTGTCTCTGTCTCCTAGGAAAACCCTTTTCAAGTGATTTCTTGTATTAATTCTTTTTATTGGCAGCTTATTGTGTCATTTCAAATTGTGGAGCTTTCCTCAGAAGAAATAATTTCACTAAACAGCTTATTTTACTATTTTAAAGTCAAAGGAAGGAATATTTTTAAAAGAACAGAGAATTACAGTGTTGGGAAACTGAGCCACATGTGGACCTAGCCTGGCTATGGTCTTTAGCCTTTGGTAACTAAGCCTGGAGCTGCGGTTCACTTTTTAGTGAACTATAAGGAGCACAAGCAGAACTGATTCTGGCCACAATGCCCTGGGGCTACTTTTGCTTTCAGTTCAAAGATTCATGTATCTGTGTGAAAACAAACATATTCAAACCTAAAGGCAGCTGGGCGCAGTGGCTCATGCCTGTAATCCCAGCACTTTGGGAGGCCGAGGTGGGTGGATCATGAGGTCAGGAGATCAAGACCATCCTGGCTAACACGGTGAAACCCCGTCTCTACTAAAAAAATACAAAAAATTAGCCAGGTGTGGTGGCGGGTGCCTGTAGTCCCAGCTACTGGGGAGGCTGAGGCAGGAGAATGGCATGAACCTGGGAGGCGGAGCTTGCAGTGAGCCGAGATTGTGCCACTACACTCCAGGCTGGGCAACAGAGCAAGACTCCATCTCAAAAAAAAAAAAAAAAAAAAAAAAACTTAAGGCCCAGACAGGCACAGTGGCTCACGTCTGTAATCCCAGAACTTTGGGAGGCTGAGGTAGGCAGATGACGAGGTCAGGAGTTCAAGACCAGACTGGCCAACATGGTGAAACACTGTCTCTACTAAAGATACAAAAAATTAGCCAGGCATGGTGGCACACACCTGTAATCCCAGCTACTCGGGAGGCTGAGGTAGGAGAATCATTTGAACCCAGGAGGCAGAGGTTGCAGTGAGCTGAAATTGCACCATTAGACTCCAGCCTGGGCAACAGGGTGAGACTCTATTTCAAAGAAAAAAAAAAAACCTGAAGACTCATGGGTCATTAGTGAGCTTGTTTAACAGATCAAGTGACAGCTCCTCATGACTCTAGATTGGTCCTGAAAACGTCTAGAACTTTGTATCAAATTCCTACCACATCACTACGCTTACTGAATATGTCCACTAAAAAAAAAAAATTCAGTTAAATCCAATGAACAATTATTATGTATCCCCAATATGCCAAACACTATTAGGTACAAGATAAATTTAAAATATTTTCATTTATGAGCTTTTATTATACTATGGACTAGGGTTTATACTAAGCATTTTATCTATATTATATAATTGTTATAATGTTTCTCTAGCAACTTATTATCTTCATTTGTCAAGGAAAACACCAAGGCAAGGGAAAGGGACTTTTTCAGGGCCACATAGATATTAAAGATCAGGATTCTTACCTAGGTCTGACTCTTAAGTGTGTGTTCCTAACCTCTTCGTCATCCTCTCTCCACTCCTCAGGATGCTCATGTCTAGTAAACTGGTTAAGGAATCTGAAATTCGGATTCAGGGTCCTGAAGGCTGAGTTTAGATGTAGGCAACTACAACAGTGGAAGAACAACCAAAGAAAAGAAAGAAAAACACAAAAGCAGGGACATGGATGAGTTCATACAGCACGGGTTCTACGCTAATGAAGCCCAAAGTGGTTAGCTCACCAGATTCTAGCTCCTTCTTATCAGTCTCGTCAGAACCAGGGATGGGTCACACTGCTCAGCCACAGCGGTTTGCATTTGGCACCAGTGTCAAACAGGGTCTAGGCAGGTTCTCAGACTATTTGCAAAGCTTCCTTTTCTGGGTTGGCTCCAGGCATCAGAATTGAGGCTGAGTTTGGGGATACGGGGTAGCACATTGTCCATAGTGAGGCCCTTCTCCACAAATCTTTTTGAGGAAATGTATTGACATGTTATATTCTCAAGTCAACAATGAAAAGGCATTAGAGAAGGAATAGTAAGACCTGTGAGTAAAGGGACTCAAAGGATGGTACCATTTTACCTACCTTTTCTCTCTAACCAACAGGCTCACTCTTCCTTACACTAGCCCTCAAGGCATCTGGGGCCGTGGGCTCTGCCAAGCTTGCCTCCTGCATGTTCTGTCTGCCAACTTCCTGGCTTGTGTCCCCTTCATCTCCTGACTGAGAAAAGCACACTTTGATCTAGCCTACAGCCACTGTCCTGACTTGCCTTTGAAACTGCCTTCTTCACTCTTCGTAACACAGCTCTGACTCTGGCCAGCTATCCCTGCCGATTAATGGATATTTTTCTCTCAGTCCTGCTCATTTGCCTGAAAGTGTCTGCAATAGCTTTTCCAGGAAAGCTCAGATTCTTCACTTATTCTAAGTAAGCATCTACTTCTAATTTAGCTAAGAACTTGGTTGACCTCAGGAAAATCAACGTGGGTGCAGCATATACAGTGAAGCAATAAGACTCATTGGATGGCACCCACAGAGCTCCAGGAGAGAAATGGTGAGGGCTGAACTAGCATAGGGCCCAGCGCATGGAAGACAATAAGAAATATCATGGAGGACCAATTAACCTTGGCCACTCTGCTACCCCATAGGATTGAATGTGGATTAAGTGAGCTAATACATGCAACACAATTAGAATAGTGTCTGTTACGTAAAAGGGATATAATACATGTTAGGTATTATTTTCATTCATCATATGTACTGAAGTTTGCCTTTGTGGCTGAATAATGCTATTATTGGTATTCATTATTCAAGCAGGGAATTATGTCTTAATCTCCATAAGAAGCATAAAGTAATTTGCTGTAAAATGTTACCACCCCACTTACTGCCCCTACTTAATATTGTACCTACTGTGGACCACAAAATTAATTCATATTCAGATACAGATTAGAGACACAATTTGCTATATTGCAGTAGAATTTGTAAAACCAAATTTGTTCAGAATGAGTACAGGGTGGTTCATTTTGGAACTAACTTCCCACATTCTTGGCTTAAAGAAGTTACTCTAACCCATATTTCTAGTCACCTCTGGCCAATTATTCAGCACTAGTTCCATGCTGTAACACATCATTTAATCACTGCACGACACTCCGGATTTCTCTCTCTCTCCATCTTCAGGAGTTTTTGTCATTTCCTCAGGCAGGTGACAGGATTTTCTACATTTCCTAAAGAGGTAAAAAGGAGCTCTATGTGGCTCTGCCATGCAATGCCTGACTTCCAATAACCTTTTGTTATCATTAAGAAAAACGAAAACTGTGGCCTTTGTCCAGGAATAGGGCAAGGATTTTTTTCTGCATGTCTTGAGGCCCTCAGGTCTGTTTCAGTCAATATTTACCTGTCAGCCCAAAACATGTTGATGTTGAGCTCAGAGGAATTAAATCGATCTATTTTTCTTCTACCTTGTTGGACCTTTTGTTAGCTATAGCTTTCTGTGAGCTGAATACTTTTAAATGACATGCACAGCAGAAGCCCTTTATAATACAGGACAAAGGGACTGGATTCAACTTATCTTAGGAGCTCAACAATTGTGATTCATTAGGCTATTATAATCCATAGTTGCAGCAATTCTGGAAACATTATTAGACTTACAGGGTATTGAACCCAAATAATCAATAGCTGTTATGAGAAGATTGTTCAGTATCTGAGAAAATAATATTTTAAAATGCATTTAGTCAACCATAATACTATGTAATCAAACAATTTTTATTGATCTGGGCTCCTGGGATTTCTTCTCCTTTCTTTATTGGCATGCCATATGTTTGACGGCAGTTTGTTCCCTCAGTAATGTATTATATCTTATAGGCATGAATAGGATTCTTTTTTGAATGTATATGGTAACTTCAGTTGTGTTGGGGCTTTATCTTCATTTGTCCTCTCTTCCTTGGGGTTCTGCATGAATTTTCCAACTTACACTTGTTTTCTACCCATTTGCCCTCTGCTTCTTACTACATTCATATAGTGGCTAGTGGAGGAACAGAACAAAACAAAATTCACTCCTTCCAGATTCTCTCCCCTTAATGTGCTAATGAGAAGAAGATCCCATCCTACCCGTAAACAAAGCTACATGAAACCAGAAACAGACTTTCCTGTAAAATCTCAGCAGAAATATTCAGGGAAATTAGTATAGTGAGAAATAATTTCTAATAAGTACATATGTAACAAAAACAACACAGGCCTTTCTGGGATGCAGGGAGTGAAGACTATCAATTACATCAATGGTAGTAGCCCTAATTGTAAAAGTGGTCTACTTCTATAAGACAGAATCATACACATAAAACATATTCCACTTTCATCTTCCTAAGATAATCAGCAAAAAAATTCACAGTAGGGTTCTCAAAATGGTTTTCCCTTGATGTATTTTAAATGATTATTTTATAAGAATTTAAGTTGCACACAATTTGAGAAACACACACCATTTGCTAAGATAAGGCCCACACTATTGCAGTGTAAGATAAGAGATGAACTCGATCTGGAACACAGACACCTGTACAACTACTAAAGTGGTAGAGACAAGTCAGGCAGTCAACAGATAAGTGCTGAGTGCCTGCCTTGTGCTGGACACCTCTGTGTTATGGATACAGAATAAACATAAGGGGAGGACAATGTTACTGACCTCAAGTTTTGCTCGGTGGCTACATTACCATCAGAACATTGAATTTCTCAGTTTGGGGTTGTTTTACTGTGTTTAATTTTTCTTCCAAGAACCAATGGTAGATATTTTTGTTTAATTAAACGGGTCTACCATTAAAATATTTCTGTTTTGTTTCAGTTTTGAATAAAACTCGAATAGAATAAAACCAGAATGAAAAGAATAGCCAGCCATGGTGGCATGGACCTGTAATCCCAGCTACTTGAGAGGCCAAGGTGGGAAGATTGCTTGAGCCAAGTGTTTGAGACCAGCCTGGACAACATAGTGAGACCCTACCTCACAAAAAAATTTCAAAAATTAATAAGATAATATACTGTAAAAATGAACTCAACTCTTTATTTATATTGAGGCAGGAAATACTTAAATTTTTTAAATGACATTCTTCTTGGTTTCTCTTCAGAGGTTTTTTTTTTTTTTTTAAAAACCTCTCAGATCCAAGTCTTTTCCAGAATACCCTATTATATTATCTCTGAAGAAAGAAACAGGACATAAGAAATTAAAGTGAGGCAAGTTAAGTGGCAAGAGGGCCCTTGTTAGAAATATTATGGATTTAGTGTCAGGAAACTACTCAACAAACATTAGATGAAAAGTCCTCCTCCAGGGGGTTGGCTGAGACAGTCAAGAATGTATAAGTATCTCAGACCACAATCAGGGCTCCAGCTGTCCTGGAACCAATTCGGGGCGCTCACTCTGCCACGCTCTGTGAAGTCAGCTCCAAGTTGCCTTTCTCGGTTCCTGCTCCCAGGAATAATGTTATGGAGAGATACATTAAAAAGGCTATGTGTCTGCCTATGCATTTGGGCCACACTTAGACAAGGTATAGTCTCCTAAATAGAAGTCCCAATACCACTGGTTCTGTATTATTGCACCACATACAGAAATTGTTATCTGTTCAGCTAAAAAAAGGAAACAACTTAAAGATACATATTAACTAAACTGTCATTGCCATTTAAAGCTTCACCTTTTGCTAAGTGTACATTAGATGATTCTTTTTCCTATTGAAAAACTGTTCCAAAATCATGCCCTCAGGGAAACACTACATAGCTCTCTAGGGGAACATGGTGTAGAGTTCATTACTGTTAAGGTTGCCATATAGCAACATTAGATTATATTGTATACTCAGTTGGCTAAGAGGGGCTAGAAAACTGTTTCCACTTTGGTTGTTGAGTAGATTAAGCCTGGAAGAATGTGATGCAAGCTGGGGGCCCCCTGCACTCCACGCAGGCCAGATCTCATTTCTGTGGTGCGGAGACATTTGGCAAGGCTTATAGCTGGAACAAGTGCTTCTTAATCCCCAGCGCGGGGGCTACAGGTGTTCCAACCTGAGCAGCCTTCTGGGCATCCAGAGCTTGGTGGGTCTGATCCCAAGAAGGTCATATCTGAAAATCAAATGAATCTTTGTTTTGGGTCTGGCAGCTACAATGGTCATGGGGCTGAACATCTAGCATGTAATGCCTCTTAATGGAGTTACAAGTGGAATGTGTCTGTAACACAGTTATAAATTCGTTTGTTTTTATTGAGCCAGATCCATAGTCTCTGAAGGCAGTAACAGTTCTCTCATAGAGCTTCAGAGGATAAGAATCTGGAATCTGGCCTGGGGTTTAACCTTTGCAGAGCATGAGTGTTTGGTTCCTTACAGAATGTTGCAGTGGGACTTCTAAAATCCTTCATTCCCACATTTGGGGAATGGTGTTAACTTGCCCTTAGGTAGCAGCAGCAGGACAAGCTCAGATCAGCACTGATTCCTTGAGGAGCTAACTACGTCAATGAACCATGGAGAGGGCTCAGTTGCAAACTATAGATGGAGAGGATGGTGTAGAGTCAGGGAATCGCACCAATGCCTGCTGCTCACAGCTATTGGAAAGTTTAAAGTTCCCTGAATATCTCTAACACTAGCATTTGCTGTCATCGGTGGCATGACTTTGTCCATTGATGTCAGCGTATCTGCATATACATCTGTGCAGCTTTTAATTCAGAACTATGACAGAGGCTCAAGTTGTAGCCATGGCAACAACATTCCCAACAACAAAGAACCACACATAACTTTAAATAATTTTCACGTTTATCATTCTCCCATAGCCCTGTATTTTTGTCTATTATGCAGAATTTACAGAATACTCTTTGAATTATAGTTATCGTATATGTACTCTCATCTGTTCTGGGCTTAAAACCCCTTGGAGAAATAAGCCATGTTCCAATCATCTTTGTAGCAAACACGGAACAATGAGAAGGACATGGCCTTTGAAATCAAACTGACTTGGGTTTGAATGCCAGCTCTTCCTAGGTTGGCGACCTTTTGCAATTTAATTAGCTTCACTAAGCCTCAGTTTACTTATGTATAAAATAGGAATAACATCATCATCATAATGTTCTTAGTTTTTTCTTTACTTTCTGCCCCAACGTGTCTACTATAGTGCTTTACATGCATGTGGGAGACATTTGGAATATTTGAAATGAATGCCTGAAAATAAGTACTAACATTTTCAAAGAAGGGGAAAATGTCTTACTTAATAATCCTATACATGAATGGGTGAGAGGGAAAGAGAACGAGAGGAACTCAGTGAACTGTAGAGCACACTGGTGTCAGATTCCAGGATAAAATCAAGGCTCCTGAATCTTAGTGAGCTCTTCAAGGTCATCTGAGGCCTTCTGCAAATGTTTAGTTTCACAGTGAGCAGTGGGCCATCAGGAAAACAGAACAGAACTGGCAGGTGGCAGGTCTTCTGGGAATCCTATCAGAACACACTTCCTGGATGCTCCACACATCAGCTTTGTAGCCTCGGTCAAAGGCATTAGGAGAACAGAGACAGGCCCAGGAATGCCTGAAAGGAACATTTTATTAGCTAAGGGGACAATATCCACATACTCCCTTTGCCACTGCAGGCAAAGGGAAGTGGGTTAAGATGAGCAAGAAGAAATTATAGTACAGATAATTTCCCATCCGTACCTAGTCCTCCATTCATTGGTCTTCCATTTCCATATCACATTGGAAAATCAAGAGGAGAACAACAAATGCTTTCACACTAATACCACAAATGATATTACTACAGAACTACTGAGGGGGCTACAGCCAAAGGATTCCCCAACAGGGACTTCTGGTTCAGGCAACAGATTATAACAGGAGGAACTCCAGCCCAGGAGCAACAAGCCCCGCTGCTCCCTTGCTGTCTTCCTGTCCCACAAGGTTAATCCATCTGGGAGCTCCCATATGTGAAGAAGAGTCTATCCCAGTGGTTCTCAGCCCCTTTGAAATCTAAAATATAATATACTTTCAGTAGCCAGTGTACAGGCAGGTGAGTCCGTGGACACACTGATTCAGACACTGCTAGCATTCCGGCCTTGTGCATTACCTTCATTCACTGCCCTCGGTGGCCTCTGGTCCTAAAGTTTCAAATTATTGGACTAGCTGATTTCTTTACATGTATTAAAATATATCCATTATGGAAAATGTAATGAAGAAATTTGTCTAGATAAATAAACATACAGATGAGAGTCACTATCAGCTAAAGATCAACCAGATATTCTGATTAAACATCTCTGAAGTGAGACATTTGTTTCCAATGAGAAAATATGTTTTCATTCACCAAATTCACCGGCATGACATACGATTTAGGACGCATCTGTTAAAGAGTGAGACTCTGAAGACCACATGTGTGTAAAGTTGAACATGCAGGGTTGGTGGCCACTGCCAGGGTTTTGCAGCTTTCTTTTTGGATATGTGCCACCTTCTCCCTTGCTAAGCTTGACCTTCTCCTTTTAACACCACTGTAATGAGTGGGCACATTAATCCTGGAGAACTTGGTAAATGCACTTTTGGAGTCAAGTACAGGAACACTTAATATCACTGTATCACTCTAAGGACATCTTGTCCTCTCATTGCCTGCTTCTCCAGATTGGTAAAAGAGAAAAGACGACATGTTGGAAGTTTACCGTAATTTATGTTGAATAAATTATTTGTAAAACAAATGGAACATCCAATCACATTAGGCTCAAAAAACTTAACTCAGAGAGCGAGACATTGGAAATCAAAGAATCAGATGCCCCATGTCACAGAAAAAGCCTGCTACAGCAGAAGCACCACAATGTCCATGTGTCATATAGTGTCGAGAAATGGGGCAAGCACAGATAAATCAGGGTCCCAGGGCTCCATTTTCACTTCCTCCAACTTGGCTGTTTTGCTTTTTATTTATTTATTTATGTATTTTTTTTAGATGCAATACAGTTGGGATAAAACTAACAACACACTTATGTGTGTCAGGTTGTTCTTTTTCTTTTTAAGAGAAGCACAAGAAAGGAAATACTAACAGACAAGGGAAGCCCCGGCCAGGTTTGCCCTGCTTAGTACCTTAGCCCCACAGCATTCAGACACATAATAGACAGCACAGTCTCCAATTGCCTATCTTTGTCTTCAGTTCTATAACAGGAAAGAGGAGGAAGACAGCAGAAATTAGCCTGAGAGAGAATGTAAATAAATGAAGGAGAAATAAAAGGTGTTTATTCTAGGGAGGGAGAGCCCACAGTTGAGGAATATGCAAGGCAGAAGGAGGGGAGAGAGGAAACAGAGAAGGGAGAGAGGAAACAATGAGTTAAAATTCAGATGCCAAAGGCCCCCAGCAGATGACACAGGACAGCGATGCAGGGGTCAGAGAGGGAGTGGTGAGGACTGCAGGGAAATGGAGAACACAAGCCCCACCAACTCAGCCCAACGTCCCTTTATCAAGAGAGACTGTGGGCTTGGGGTTGCTAGATCTTCTGATTTTTCTCAAAATCAGTTTGAAATCCAAACTTTTATGTGAATTTTTCCAGTTTCTAAATATTAGCAAAACATTGTTCATCATAAAAAAAAAAAAAACAACTGCAGGGCAGTGTTGACCCAAGGGCCACCAGTGTGTAACTCTGTGGTAAGCCAAGAAAGGGTGAAGGAAGGGGCAGACACCTGTCAGATGGGAATGGACTGATTTGATTTCCGCAAAGCAGAAGGGTGGCTAAAGAACAAGAATAAAGAGAGAGAGTTGGAAAAAGGAAGGAAGGAGGGAAGGAAGGAAGGAAGGAAGGAAGGAAGGAAGGAAGGAAGGAAGGAAGGAAGGAAGGAAGGAAAGAAGGAAGGAAGGAAGGAAGGAAGGAAAGAAATCCAAGCAGGACAAAAGATAATCAGAGTGCTGCGGTGGTGGCTGGGACATGGGTGTTGGAGCCTGGCAATGCTAGTTTGAATGCCAGCTTTTGCTGGGCATGCTACTTGACCTCTGTGGGCTTCCACTTTCTGGTCTGAGAGCAGGGGAATGATGCTTTCTTTGCATGGTTGGTGAGATGATTAGATGAGATATGCTATATGGGCATGGCTGGCACACACTCAATGCTTCGTAGATGTTGGGCTATGTTTCATTTTTTCCTTTGGTAGATGGGACAGTTGGGTCCCAAGAGGACCAAATTCTTACACTCTGGGAAGCCATTTAGCAGACCTCAAACATTTTGAGGGATTACAAATCTTTTTAAAAACTCTATGAAATACGTGGACTTTCTCCTCAGAAATATAGACATAGCAAAACACATACACAGGCACATACACATACACATAGAGTTTACATACCATTTCAGAAGATCACAGGTCCTCTGAAACCCAGCCATGAACTCCAGGTCAGGATCGCTGGCTTACAGTAATTCTGCTCCAGTACACTGGAAAAGAGTAAGCACATGGCAACTGGTCTCTCGTGTTCATGACAACAGATCCTGACCCAGATTATGGGATTAAAATCTGGGGCATGTGTGAGCATATGTGTTACATGTGCCTTGCTAGTGCAGGCTGACTTGTCCTGGCCCCAGCATCCTAGGAAGGAAACTGCGCATACCTCCTGCTTAAACGATCCACATCTGATCCACATCTGATTGATTCTGGTTTCCAGGAAGCCAGAAGACCATAGGCTGCAGAGATGGAATTGAGTGGGAGGCAAACTGCATTTGCCACTAAGTGATAGCGATCTGAGGAATGCTTCCCTACGTGACTTGTGAGTGACGGAGACAAGAGGGGTTACTGGGCCCAAGGGTGGGCACGCTGTGATATTTGGAATATCATTCAGGGAGAAACCAGGAAACTGAGGCAGTAATGGAGACTAGGTTTCCCTGAGGAGGAGACCACCTCTCCCTGAAGGCCATGCCCTCTATGTACTAACAAAACACTACCATGTAACAGTTGACAAAGCAGGACCACGACATCCACTCGCCTTGCCCAGAGAATGCTTTAACCTTTGTGAAGTAATTTTCTGAGACTTCAGATATCCCACCTAAGCACATTCCTTATCTCACAGAAATTGCTATACTTGATACAGAAATGGCTTTAACATGTAATTGCTTTTTCTTCTGTATTTACCTATAACTCAAGACTAAGGCTTTCTATTTTCTACACGTTCCATATATACATATGAAAAGTCTATGATTGTATAGTTCTTAGATGTTGTCAGTTGAAGAGAAGCAAGGCCAAAAATCACAAGGAGGAAAGATACTGTGAAAATGGAAGTGGGGGTGGATCTAAGGAGATCCCAGGCTGATGGAAGAAGCACTGGCCTCCTCTGCTGGATGTTTGGGAGAGGTGGAGAGGGGACATCTCCCAGAACCTCCAGAGCCCTTCAATACCCGCCAGGGCTGATGTGGGGAAGTGTGTTTCTCCTTAACTACCTAAGGATGAAAGAAGGCAGCACTTGAGACCTGTGGGAAATGAGGGCAATCTTTTGGGAAATTTCAGTCCTGGAGGGATTTCTAGGTTTTCAGTTCAGGGGTTATCATTTTTAGAGGTGTTAACTTTAGAAAATTGAAATCAATGGCCCTGTTTCTTATTCGTTGTCAAAAACTAAAATTTCATGTGAGATATTTTTCCAGTTTGACAATCTATTGCTCCCTTTACCACTGTAAAGAAACAGGAGGAAAAGTAATATGTAAGCAGGGGTTCCATATTCTTCTAAAGTAGATAAGGTTTGGACTGTGTCCCTGGCCTCTTTATGGGAAATCTGTGTTTTGTGGATCTCGCGGCCTCACCTGCATTCAGGATCTGCCTTGTGTGTATGAGGAGCACCAAAGGAAGTGGCGACCTACAAAACGCAGCCTGCAGGGAGGAAGTAGAAGTGGAGGATTTAAACAGGAGCTGAGTTAGACGAATCTTCAATTTGACCAAACTTCTTAATTGGGCTCAAAAAACTAGAAATTGTCAGAGAGAGGGATGAGGAGGATTCAAGGTCTAGAAAAGTATGTTCCTTTACAAAAATAAAAATGTATTTTTGCTGCTCTGCATTTTATGGACTGCCATGACTATGAAACAGCACAAGTCCAGGCACGGTGGGTCACACCTATAATCCTAGCACTTGGGAGGCCAAGGTGGGTGGTTTGTCTGAGCCTAGGAGTTTGAGACCAACCTGGATAACATGGCAAAAACCTGCCTTTACAAAAAATACAAAAAAATTAGCTGTACATGGTGGCATGCACCTGTAGCCCCAGCTGCTCTGGAGGCTGAGGTGGGAGGATCGCTTGTGCCCGGGGCGATTGAGGCTGCAGTGAGCTGAGATCACACCCCTGCACTCCAGCCTGGATGACAGAGTGAGATCCCTTCTTAAAAAAAAAAAAGAAAGAAAAGAGAAAGAGAAAGAAAAAGAAAAAGGAAAAGAAAGAAAGAAGGAAAGAAAGTAAAGAAAAAGAAGAGGAAAAATAGCACAGCAGCCACACACACTTTAGTGTAAAAAAAGAGGCAAATAATAAAGGAAAATAATACTTCTTTTGTTCTATACGTGTTATTATGCCCATTTGCACATTTTCCAGATAAGGAAACTAACAAATTACCCAAAGTCACACAGAAGTGAACAAAGAACAATTGAAAAGTAATGTATGCCATTTGCCTACAAAAAAAGGGAGGACAGAAATATTAAAGATTAATTCTTCTGGCTTGACAATTTTACTCAGGGATAAATTCCTACTTAAAAGAGTACAAGTTTCTCTTCACAAAGTTAATACGTGATTTCTCACTTGCTCTCGGGACTTCTTTTCACATCTCCCACAAGGTGGCAGCATTTCTCCAATGATATAACCATCATCAACTAGGGCTACAGGGATTGCACAATAGAGCCAGGAGTAGAAATCAGGAGAATAATTAATATAGAACTTATAAATACAGAAAAGGTTACAAAATTGTGATAGTACCCTAATTAAATAAAGGCTTTTAAACCCAGTAATTACTTTGAAGGTTAGTATCTTCCAGCCTCCCTGCCGCTTAGAAAAATATTCATATTAAATTCTTTTAGCGCTATCCTTGTTTCCACCACTTGATGGCAATAAAGACCCCTTAAATACTGAATGTTCATTTTTCTTTTTGGAAAGTTGGAAGGTCTGTTTGAAAAATTCAGCAGTCTACTCCTTTATCCATACTTTCCAGTTTCATCCTGTTCAAGATGCTGAGTGTTCTTCTGGAAGTAGAATGCCCCAACCATTCCCTGGGTCGATCGCCTTTGCAGGAATTCACGGAATGATACTTTCTCCTTGATTTTTCTAATAAATTTAGTAATTTTCTACCGCCAATCCCCACCCGTCCACAATAAACTAAAACTTCTCGGATTTTTTTCTTAAAATAGCTCCGAACTACCAACTCATTGCTGTTTGGCCCTATCCCATCCACACAGGTAACTCCTATGACCTGTATCTATAGTCCACCGCAGGTTTTGAGACACTGACACTTTGTAAAATACAGCTCCAGCTGGGCGCGCTGGCTCATGCCTGTAATCCCAGCACTTCAGGAGGCCGAGGCGGGCAGATCACCTAAGGTCAGGAGTTCAAGACCTGACCTACATGGCGAAACCCGGTATCTACTAAAAATACAAAAATTAGCCGGGCATGGTGGTGGACACCTGTAATCCCAACTACCTGAGAGGCTGAGGCAGGAGAATCGCTTGAACCCGGGAGGCAGAGGTTACAGTGAGCTGAGATCACGCCATTTCTCTCCAGCCTGGGCGACAGAGCAAGACTCTGTCTCAAAAATAAATAAATAAATAAATAAATAAATAAATAATAAATAAATAAAATACAACTCCAAACTGATTGTCTCTAGTGGAGCAAGCAGCACCGAAATGATTCCTTGAAGATGAGACTCTGTCCTGGCATTCTGTGTGACACCGGCTTTTAGACTGCAGCTAAGAACCTAGCACAATGCCATCACTCAATATGAGTTTATTGAATAAATGCGTGATTGGGAAATTATTATTTAATCCTTAGTGTCAGTGATGTCGATGGTAAATTTCCTGAGAAAAGGGACACTTTCAGTACCACTGTTTAGAAATGGGCTTACCACTGCCCCATTGATCTCGGAAGATGATGATAGGAGGGGTGAGTCAGTATCACATAGGAGAAAGGGAGAATTTGTAAGTGATGGGGAGTCAATGACACAACTCTTGGTGTGCTTTCAGAGTAGTGGTGATAGACTGCACTGACCCATGCTTACTCTCTAGGCTGGTATGCCTCCTCCAGGATCAACAGTAGCCTTGAATGCCATGTCAAGGCTGCTGTGGATTTTTTTTTCCTTATACATCAAGATGCTATCTATTGCTTTGGCCTTTTTAGCAATAATTTTTTGGCTTTTGTTGGAAAGTAACAATAAAGATGATTCAGGAAGGCCACTCAGGCAATGAAGGAAAGGAAAGGATAGAGGCTGGGGCCCATGAGGTGTGAATGGGGAAAGCTGAAGAGCTGGTTCCTTTGTAGCTCCTTAAGTACTTAAAGTTTACTGAAGAAAGGGATGGAGGATGGATGGATGGATGGATGGATGGATGGATGGATGGATGGATGGATGCGAGTTGTCCTAAGAAATGAAGTAGTCTTCATTAAATCATTTCGATTTCTACTTATTTGGGGGAATTTTCTGTGATGGTAATTCAGGATGCTCTATTTATTTTGTCTACTGTGTTACTGTACAGATTGTATCTTTGTGCCGAGTGAAGCAATTTGACTTCTTGGCATTCACATCATACACGCTTGGTGTTTGTAGACAGTTATCATATCATTAGTCATTGCCTAGTTAATTCTGCTTTCATGTTTCTACATAAATGAATCCCTCCCACTCCCTCAGTAATGTCTGTCCTTACTCTCTGATCTTCTTCCAGTATTTCTATCTCCTTCAGGCCCCTGAGCATCTCACTGACAACCTATTGTTTCAGGTAAAATACCAGAGTTATCCAGAAGAAAAAAAAATGTGCTGTGTGGATTCAGGGAAGAGTTAACACTTTTCGTATAGTTCCAAAGTCAAAATCAGAAACAAAGAAACTTCATAACTGGCTCCCATATTTGTATAAGATGTCCAAACTGTTTTTTTAGTACTTGACTATTTGCTAGTTACACCCATAACAGAAATTTTGAAAGTATGCCTCTACAATATATTATAGTACATTTAATGCCTTTCTCCCCCATAATACTGAACAGGGACCATAACTTTTTGTAAAAGGACTTGCAGAAAGATCCAAGGAGAGGGGAGGAAATGGGATGGCGATCACAGGAAGAGGCCTTAAGCTTGGACAGGAAGAGACTGCCCTCTGAGAGCCCTGGGAAATAGCCACGGTGGGGGCGGACAGAGATAAGGTGGAAAGAAGGGCGGGGAGTAGATGGAGGCAGACGGAAGATGAGTTGATTTACCATTGTTGACATCAATTTTCTTCATGAATAAGGAAGCGAGATTGTTGGCTGAGAGTGAGTAGCAATGAGGTTGGGAAGAGTTGAAGAAAGTGAACGCTGGAACAGCCATGGGCAGAGGGAAGAATTTAGGACCTAACTGAAACTGGAATCCCTCCCTTTGGAGTGGATTTAATCTGAAATTCCAGTGGGTTTTTTTTTCCAGCATGCCAACTATATTATCAATACGTATTCATTTTGTTAAATATTCTCGGTCCTCCTCTCTTCTCCATCCTACTACTCTCTTGCTACAGGTTTCATTTTTTGTTTGCTCCTGATTTATTATTACCTCCAGTCTCACCTTGCCAGTCCTTCTTCCTCTAGCTGCTGGAGTGACAATTTTCACAACCAAATATTACAGCCAATGCCGTCATCCACCAGTTAAACCCAGCTGAGCACAGACACATGAACAAGCCTAGTATAGACCAGGAGATGAGGCTGGAGAGCGAGCAAGTTAGAGCTTACAGGGCCTTGGATTTCACTGGGAGTGAGAAGAATTGACCAGCTGAGTTCATCCCAAAGTACTAACTCACAGGTACATGAGCTAAACTATTAAGTTTTGAGGCTGGGACTAAGTTGAGGGAGGTGAAGCACCTAGGGTGCAAAATTCAAGGAGGCCTCATTTGCACTTCCATGACATAAGAGTAAGTGTCTCTTTAAACTGCATGCCCCTGTTGTTACACTCACCTCACTGGCCTCACCCTACTCACTTACCACTTGCATGGCCCTGTGAAGTTGGTTCCACAGCCATGGATGACTGATACAAGGATTTTCTTGACCTGGCTCCAGAAAAGCTTATTCTGGTCAATCATGGCACATGGACTATGGCCACTACTTCCTTTCTCCCTTTAATCTCCCCGTTATACCCAATAACATATTAATCTATATTCCCAGTGACAGCTGATGGCCAAGGAGGCCCACAGTTTTTCAGCAAATTAAGAAATGTGCTGATACAAAATATTCTGCTCCTACTAGGTCAGTGATGGTTTGCTAGGTCAACCTCAGATTTTGAATCAGAAAAGGTGAGAAAAAAATCTTCAGAGAACTAAAATAACCCATTGGTCCTCCACTGAGATACCTACAGCACCTAGACCCTGAATCACCATCCAGAAAAGCCTCCATGAAGCATCGATGTACTGTAGATTTTTCCATAAGATTTCTATGGGATTCCTGTCTCTCTTGAGACAGCCTACTGAAGGAGTTTTTCCTGGGTACCACAAAAGTCGACCACTTTAGGTCTTTAGCCTTTTTCTTCCTATTCACCCTATTATTCCAGTAAAATTGCACTTATCCCTCTAAGCACACATCATATTCCACGCCCTTGCTTGACTGATTCTTTTGCTGAAGACTTCTCTTTCTTTCTCCTCTTTCTTTCTTTCTCTTCTTTCTTTCTTCTTTCTCTCCTTCCTTCCTTCCTTGTTCTTTCCTTCCTTCCTTTTCTTTTCTTCTTTCTTTTCTCTTTTCTTTTCTTTTTCTTTCAAGACAGGGTTTCGCTTTCCACCCAGGCTGGAGACCAGTGGTGTAATCATAGCTCACTACCTCCTGGGCTCAGGAGATACCCCCACCTCAGCTTCCCGAGTAGCAGGGACCACAGTTGCATGCCACTACACCTGCCTAATTTTTGTATTTTTTTTTAAGAAACAGAGTCTTGCCATGTTGCCCAGGCTAATCTTCAGCTCCTGGCTCAAGCAATCATCCCACCTTAGCCTCTCAAAGTGCTGAGATTAGAGGCATGCACCACCGCACCCAGCCAAGACCCTCTTTTTCATGTCCCCAGTAAAGGACACTGATGGTGCTTTTACCAGATCTCTTTAAGCATATCATGTACGCATCCTCCAACTTCTTTATGCCTTGCTGCTAATGCCTCACATCCTAAAATCTACGACCTTTGGAGCATTGCTCTGGAGATGTCCTGCTCCACATATGCCTGGGCGTTTTGTATTCCAGCCCCCGTCCATCAGGGTAGCCCATAACCATGAACAGACTGGTATGGGAGTACAAAAGCTTGGCTCCTTTGCTTCAAAGTGAACAAACTCTGAGGTGTAAATTATGCTACAGGTTTCCCCATGGGATCAGGCTGAGTCTGGGACTTCATCTGAAATTGTACTCTGATATAGTTTGGGTCTGTGTCCCCACCGAAATCTCATGTCAAATTGTAATCCCCAATGTTGGAGGTGGGGCCTGGTGGGAAGTGACTGGCTCATGGGAGTGGATTTCCCTTGGGTGGTGTTCTTGTGACAGTTAGTGAGTTATCACAAGATCTGGTTATTTAAAAGTGTGTAGCAACTCCCCTCTCTCTCTTCCTCCTGCTCTAGCCATGTAAGATATGCCTGCTCCCCCTCTGCATTCTGCCATGATTGAAAGTTTCCTGAGGCCTCCCTAAGCCATGCTTCCTGTGTAGCCTGCGGTACTGTGAGCCAATTAAGTCTTTTTTCTTTATAAATTACCCAATTCCAGGTATTTCTTTATAGCAGTGTGAGAACAGACTAACACACCCTTACTTGGCTTCTTCACATCCTTATATGATATCCTTAACTATTTTACTAGTTTCTCCAGGGAGCATTTCTCTACCACTTATCCCCCTCAAAAATTCTTACCTATGCTTCTAAGTTATGCTTAATTATCACTTTTGTGAAATATCCCTGACCACCTAGGGAGAGAGAATTAATCACTCCTTCCTCTGTGCAACTACAGACTCTTACAGGAACGTCAATGATTGCATTTAAGCAGGTCAACATTTATAATTGAGCTGTCTCTCTTACTGGTCAGAGAGCACTTTGAAGGTAGGGGCACGGTTATGCAACTATCCACGGGAATATCTTCCGTAATCATTCGGGATGCAGGACATAATTGTTGATTAGAAAATATTTACATTGACTTGAAATCTGCTTCCTTGTAATTTTCACATGTTAGCCTCAATTCTTCCATTTTACACAGTAGAGTAAGCCTAAATAAGACAGTGATTAATTTTCCAACATCCATCCTTCAGACTTAACAACTCTGGATCCAGGAAGAGGCTCTCATATGGCTTTAATTCCTCCAATTCACCACCCTTATTACTGTCTTCTTTGTGCCTTGAGTTTGTCAATGTTCTCTTTAAAGCTTGCTATTCATAACTGAAAACAATAGGATGACAAAACAATAGGATTAAATAAAAGAGCTATGGTTTAGCAGCCTAGTTCACCTCTATTCTTCCTCAATCTGGATAAGGAGTTTTTGAGACTACGATGGTTCCTAAAAACACCTGTGTGGTGTCATACTCTCGGTCCACATGAAGAAACGGGTCAGTTCAAATCACTAGGTTTCTTTACATGAACTTTTGTAAGAAATGTTTTTTCCCGGCCAGGCACAGCGGTTCATGCCTGTAAGCCCAGCATTTTGGGAGGCTGAGACTGGCCAATCACCTGACATCAGGAGTTTGAGACCAGCCTGAACAACATAGTGCAACCCCATCTCTACAAAAAAATACAAAAATTAGCCAGGTGTGGTGGTGCACACCTGTAGTCCCAGCTACTCCAGAGGTTGAGGTGGGAGGATCACTTGAACCTGGGAGGCAGAGGCTAAAGTGAGCTAAGACCGTGCCACTGCACTCCAGCCTCGGTGACAGAGTGAGACTCTGTCTCAAACAAAAAAAAAAAAAGAAAGAAATGTTTTCACCCCCACTGAATTTACAATATTGAGTTTTGAACCTAAATGCAAAGTTTAACTTCAGTCTGCCAAGCTTTATCTGGTTTGATTTAATTCATTATTGCATCAAAATTTTTTTTGAATATTAATGCCACATCAGTTTTTTGGCCTCTCCAGTCTTCATCCTGGTGAATAATAGGAGTGAGAGCAAGACCAGGGCAGAGCCAGAACACTGCCACACCATTACAGACCTGTATTGAAGTGGGCACTGACTTATTAATCCACACTCTGTGGGAGCCATTGCTCAGCAAGCTCTGAATTCTCCTAACTGTGCTCTCATACAGTCTGAATTTGTTTGCCAATAGGATGATATAAATAATTATTTTTAAAATTGCCAAAATCAAGTTTTATTATGTCTTTGGACTCTTCCTAATCTAGAGGCAGACTTACATAGCAATTAAGGGGATAGCTTAAGAGTCTGGCAGATGGATTAATCTGAGTTCTGCCGCTTACCAGCTTTGTGAACTTAAGCTCATTTTAATATCCCTAAGCCACAGTTACTGTACTCTTTAAATAAGAATAATAGTTTCCATTTCACAGGATAGTTATAAGTAAATGAGGTTATTTATTATATATCAAGAGTTCAACAGAGAACCTAACATGTAATAGTAACATTTTCCCTTATTATTCCAAACTAATGGGAATGTTGGAAAGAGAGTAGCTGATTTAGAGGAAACCAGAGGCCTCGTGAAGAAGGAAACATATGAGCAGAGAGATGAAGAAGAGGGAATGAGCCACAAAGCTGCCTTGGACAGATGTTACAGGCCAAGGGAATGGCAAGGGCAAGGTCGAGCATATGCACGATCTAGCAAGGGGAGTGTGGCTACACCTGAATGATCACAAAGCAGGATCACAGGGGATGAGGCTGGAGAGGCAGCAGGGTTGGATCTTACAGAGTCTTGGGTTTCACTTGGAGGGAGATGAGAAACCATTATAGAAATATGAGTAATGGGATGAGTGACACAAGTGGACTTGTGTTCTGAACAGCTGTCCTAGCTGACATGTGACAACTAGACCATAAGGAAGGCGAGGCTTTAGAAGACTGTTGCAATAATCCAGCAGATGACAGTGTCTTGACATGGAAGTAGTGAGAAGTAGTCAGTTTCTAGATACATTTGAAGGTCTCCAGGATTATTGATGTGCAGTGAAAGAAAGAGAAATCAAGGATGAGACCATGTAATTTGTCCTAAGCAACCCAGAAGATTGAATTCGTGTTTACTGAGGTAGAAAGCCAGGAAGAGGCACAGACTTGGGAGGTGTATCAATCAGGATAAGTTAGGTTATGCTGTGGTAACAAACAACTTCTAAGTCTCAATGGCTTAACCCAAAAAAATCTCCTTCTCGCTCAGGACATTTCCATTGCCAGTTGGCAGGGGCCTCCATTCAGAGGATTCACTTAGGAACCTAAGGGGTCGGAGGCTTCACTTTGACACTGGTTGCCTTCACCACCACAGCAGCGAGGAGCATAGAGAATTGCACTCTGGTTCCCAAAGTGCCTGATGGGAAGTGAAGTTGCTTCCACTCATATTTCATCAAACAAAGCAATCACAAAGCAATGCCTAACTTCAAAGGGGATGGAAGGAAGCACAATCTACTGCATACCTGGACTTAAGAAAGTTGGAAATATTTGATGAATAGCAGCAGTGACTGCCACTGATGAGAAAACCAAGAGTTTTCTTTCTGTGTTTTGGACATGGCCATTCCCGTGGGGGTGTAGTGTACTAGTCTGAAGTTCAGGGAAGGACAAGGAGTGCATCCAGGCTTGTGGAACCTGGAGTGGATATAATCTGGGGGGAAGCTCCTTTAAGATAAGGAATGCCAGACCCTATACAAAATTAAATACAGAGACTTAGGAGAGCATATGCAAATGAAAAATAGAATAAAATACTTAGAAACATACCTAGCCAAGGAGGTAAAAGACCTATACAAAGAAAACTACAAAACACTGCTGAAGGAAATCATAGATGACACAAATGAATGGAAAACATCCCATGCTCATGGATGGCTAGAATCAATATTGTGAAAATGACCATACTGCCAAAAGCAATTTACAAATCAATGCAATTCCCATCAAAATACCATCATCATTCTCCACAGAACTAGAAAAAAATTCCTAAAATTCATTTGGAACCAAAAAAGAGGCCTCATAGCCAAAGCAAGACTAAACAAAAAGAAGAAATCTGGAAGCATCACATTACCCAACTTCAAACTATACTATAAGGCCATAGTCACAAAAACAGCATGGTACTGGCATAAAAACAGGCACACAGACCAATGGAACCCAATAGAGAACCCAGAAGTAAAGCCAAATACTTACAGCCAACTGGTCTTTGACAAAACAAACAAAAACATAAAGTGGGGAAAGGACACCCTACTCAACAAATAGTGCTGGGATAATTGGCAAGCCACATGTAGAAGAATAAAACTGGACCCTCATCTCTCACCTTATAAAAAAATCAACTCAAGATGGATCAAAGACTTAAATCTAAGACCTGAAACCATAAAAATTCTACAAGATAACTTTGGAAAAACCCTTATAGACATTGGCTTAGGCAAAGACTTCATGACCAAGAACCCAAAAACAAATGCAACAAAAACAAAGATAAATAGATGGGACTTAATTAAACTAAAAAGCTTCACACGGCAAAAGAAATAATCAGCAAACAGACAATTCACAGAGTGGGAGAAAATCTTTGCAAACTATGTATCCAACAAAGGACTAATATCCAGAATCTACAAGGAACTCAACCAAATCAACAAGAAAAAAAAAACAAATAATCCCATCATAAAGTGGGCAAAGGGCATGACAGACAATTCTCAAAAGAAGATATACAAATGGCCAACAAACGTATGAAGAAATGCTCAGCATCACTAATGATCAGGGAAACGCAAATCAAAACCACAGTGCGATACCACCTTACTCCTGCAAGAATAGCATAATTAAAAAATAAAAAATAATAGATGTTGGTGTGGAAGTGGTGAAAAGAGAACGGTTTTACACTGCTGGTGGGAATGTAAAGTAGTACAACCACTATGGGAAACAGTGGGGAGATTTCTCAAGGAATTAAAAGTAGATCTACCATCTGATCCAGTAATCCATTCTTGGGTATCTGCCCAGAGGAAAAGAAGTCACTGGCCGGGTGCGGTGGCTCACGCCTGTAATCCCAGCACTGTGGGAGGCCGAGGCGGGCAGATCATGAGGTCAGGAGATCGAGACCATCCTGGCTAACACTTTGAAACCCTGTCTCTAATAAAAATACAAAAATTAGCCGGGTGTGGTGGCGGGCACCTGTGGTCCCAGCTACTAGAGAGGCTGAGGCAGGAGAATGGCGTGAATCCGGGAGGCGGAGCTTGCAGTGAGCCGAGATCGTGCCACTGCACTCCAGCCTGGGCAACAAGGCAAGACTCTGTCTCAAAAAAAAAAAAAAAAAAGAGGTCATTATATGAAAAAGACACTTGCACACACATTTGTAGCAGCAAAATTCGCAATTGCAAAAATATGGAACAAGCCCAAATGCCTATCAATCAATGATTGGATAAAGAAAATATGATATAAATATACCATAGAATACTACTCAGCCATAAAAATGAATTAAATAATGGCATTCACAGCAACCTGGATGGAATTGGAGACCATTATTCTAAGAGAAGTAACTTAGGAATGGAAAACCAACATCATAGGTTCTCACTTACAAGTGGGAGCTAAGCTATGAGGACGCAAAGGCATAAGAATAATACAACGGACTTTGGAGACCCAGGGAGGGGGAAGGGTGGCTGTGGGGGTGAAAGATAAAAGACTACACACTGGATATAGTGTACACTGCTTAGGTAATGTGTGCACCAAAATATCAGAAATCACCACTAAAGAACTTACCCATATAATGAAACACCACCTGTTTCCCCCAAAACCTATTGAAATAATAAAAAAGAAGAGGTTGTGCAAATAAGAGGTCCTAAAGGTTAAGCTCCATACATTTAAATGTGAATTCACCTCTTGGTGAGAAGGTCTAGTTCTGTAAATGGACGTCATCAGGTAGTGGAGGATTTTAAAGCCATAGGAATGAATGAAGTCACCTATAAAGTGGATATAAATAAAAGAGCCCCTGAATCCTGGGAGAATCCTGTGTTTCAAGATTTAGTGTGATCAGAAATGGAGATTGAGAAATGACCAATGAGATATACTTGATAAAATAATTTTACTTTCTCTATACATTTACCTCATGCTTGCTCTCCTATAGGCTGCTATTTATTTTTATTACACCTTTTAATCTACTACAGGATGGAGAGTCTCTGATCATTTGACTTTCAACATCTGTATTTAAAAACTAGGAGTAGCATCAAACTAACTCAGTTTAAAATGAAATTCAGCATTAAATCAGCAGTATAAGGAGGAAAAAAACTGTCTATAGGTCAAGAGATTAAATCTTAACTTCTACCCCTGTCACCAATTTGTTAAATCACTTGCTCAAGGTCACATAAATTCTCAAGACCTTTCTGTGTGCATCAATAAAATGAAGAAATATATTATTTTCTCTAGAGTCCTTTCTGACTCTGCCATTTGGCCTAGGCATTCCATCTTGAGGTGGGCTGGGCCTCAGGACTAGATCACATCAGTTTCCAGGATATGTGTTTAATTGCATTCATTGATTTAAGTATACATTTCAAATTCCCTATTTGCTTTACATTGATTAAGATGTGATACAATTGAGGGTAATAAATAAATGAAATATGAAACCTTCAAAGGATGTTTGGCAACAAAATGGAATGACTGTAGTTGAGGAGCTCAAAGTCAAGTGTGGGAAGTATTGTTTAATGCCCTTATAAATCTCCCCTTTATTAAAGGGATTTAATTAATCAAAGATTTTAGGTAATAAATAATTTAATCATAAAGAAACAAACTGTATTAGTTTTTTAGGGCTGCTGTAACAAAGTACCACAAAGGAAGTGGCTTAAACAACAGAAATGGCCCATCTCCCAGTTCTGGAGGCCAGCTGTCTCAGAAGCTGTCTGCAGGGTGGTGCTCCCTCTGAAAGGCCTGGGGAATTATCTGTTCCAGCCCCTCTTCTAACTTTTGGTAGTTCCTTGGCTTGTGGCAGCATAGGTCCAATCTTCACATGGGTTCTCCCTGTGTGTGTATGTCTAAATGTTCCCCTTTGTTAAGGACACCAGTTATATGGTTTTATTATCCACACTAAAAATCCTCATTTTAATTTCATTACCTCTGTAAAGACCCCACCTCCAAGTGAGGTCACATTCAGAGGTAGGGGGGTTAGGACTCCCACATACCTTTTTTGTGAGGACACAATTCGACCCACAGCACTGCAGGGCTGAGAAAACGGCATTCCAAGCTGAAGGCCTCAGAAGCAAAGTTTCCCTCTGACCTCCTGGCCTCTTAACTCTCAACTCCCAGCCTCCCACCAAGGCAAGCCATAGAAACTAGAACCCTTTTCCCCAAAGCTAGTCATAAAACCTAAAAAAACTACTCTAACCTTCCCCTTGCCTTTCTGTGCAACAGCTGACCGTAAAGACATTCAGACCCTCATTTCAGAGAGGTCCTACCCCATACCTGAGAGGAAGAAACCTTGCACAGAGAGGCGAGAAGAACCTAAACAGACAGGCTTTGCTGGCTTCCCGGCCAGTCTATTAGATCCTTCCCTTTCATCCAATCACATTTCTACACCACTCTCCCTGCTTCATCGAACTGAAGCGTAAAATCACAAGCTTCCCCTGTACCTTTGGGTCTTCATTCTGAAGGCTCCTGTGTCATGTGAAACTATAATCAGGTAAATTTGCTATGCTTTTCCCTTGTTAACCTGTCTTTGTTATGGGGGTGTCAGTTGTGGCTCTTGTGGTGGGGAGGGAAGAGATCACCTGCTTTCTGCCCTACAACACAAACCTACCTACAATGGCTGCTGCCCAGCCTCAATTCCTCTTTGTCCACAAGGGTGCCCACACGGTCCTTCACCCAGGGCTTTTATCTCTACTGTCTTAACATTTTGCAAATCCATTTCCTCCTCTTCATCCTCCCTGCTTTAGCTCAAAGCCTCCTAGTTTATTGTCTGGTCTAAGACAAGACTCTCCTATCCAGTCCCTCTAACTTATTCCATGACCCTCCTTCCCCAACTACCACTCACTCTCTACTGGTCAGCCAGTGCTATCTTGCTAAAATGGACCTCTGACTTTGCCACTTCACTGCTAAAAATCCTTGAGTGGTTTTACATTGATCTTTAAAATAAAGTGCAGTTCCTCAGCATAGAGTCCAAATCTGGCTCCTAACCACCTGTTAAGCCTCAACTTTACCCTGTTTTCAGCCATCACAAACACGAGGTAGTTCTTTAAATAGAGCATTTTGGTAGTGTCCTTTTGCAGGGCTGTTGCTAGCATATCAAAAGCCTTTGTGCCAATTAGGAAAAGGAACCTCCTCAGGGAGGATGAATTACAATCAAGTAGCCTTCCCTCTGGTGGAGGCTGCCTTGGTGCAGGCTCAGTACACAGCTGGAGGACTGGGGGACTGGTTGGATTTCAGTCCCTAGTCAGCCTCCTCCACCTTGTGCAGGATAAAACAACATGCCAACATGTGGCTGCCTGGCCCTGTACTCACATGCAGAAGGAGTTCCCCAGGAAAACATTTGTGAAGTCTCAGGTTTGCATCCACCATGAGAAATCCCTGACCTTCTAAGCTGAGGAAGCTAAGATTAGAGGATTCAACAGCAGCATGAAGGAGAGATTGATTCTGAACACCTGCTGCACTGCAAGGGCCATTTCCTCAGGAGAAGGTGAGCTCCTTCAACACAGGAGCTGGGTGTTCATCACATCTCAATAGCTCTGACGCTATGCATCATATGTGGGATATGTAGGTACTCAGTCAACCTCAAACAAATTCCATTTTTTTTCTTGACAATTAGAGAACCTGTGAATTTAAAAGTGCTAGAATAGCTGAAAACACTAAGAATTGCTTAGGAGAGTGAAACTGGACAGAATCCCAGGCAGGCTGGCCTACTTTGTAGGGAATCTGCTTAGTGCAGCAGAGTAGTCCTAGATTGTGGTTCTAGTCCCAGGCCAGTTACCAACCAGCTCGATGGCTAAGTGAATCAATCACTTGGTAATATCTTTAAACCTCTCAGAGTTTTACAAGGCTTTACAAGGTCCTTCCATACACATTTCTCCCCTTGCTGCCTGAATTTTTAAATTTCCTTCTATTATATGCCCTAAAACTCTAGCAGCTAGAAAGCTGACATGAAAGGATTCTCAGTCAATCACATTACAGTATGAATTAGATTAACAATTTTAAACCACCAATTTTTTCAAATTCCTTGCTAAGATGGGTAGACCATGAAGAAACAGACGTCTCAATTTGGAGAGAAGACTGACGGGAAGTTTCAAAACATAGAGCATGTTAGGAAGTAGGATGAGAGCTGGGAACTTACCAGCCTCATTGGAAATGGTGTCGTCAGTTATTAGCAGGGCTGACTTTTCTCTCTTCATCCCCCAATCCTCTGCAGATGAGGATGGGTACCTGCCCACTGACCTCCTGGGGCCCAGACCCAGGAAGCAAGGATAATAGATAGGACCCTTCGTTAAGGCAAAGAAAAGAGAGGCTCTCTAGATATCATATCACTTGGGAGTCATGCTGTAATGGGTAGCCAATCAGCAGAACTCTCCTCCTTCATTCCTTTCACCTCTTGTAGAACCATAGTACTGCTAGTTCCATTGAGCAGAAAAAGAGCCTGGAAATTGAAGGTCCACAGCCTACACCTGCTGGAAATTGAAGGTCCACAGCCTACACCTGGGCCTGCAGGAAAGCAGAGTAAAGACCCCTTCAGGCTCATTCAAGATTGGCAGCGTCAACCTTGAGGAGAAAAACCAAAGAACTGCCTTCACCGTGCTGTGAACTCTCTGAACACACAAGTCCTACTAGTAAGACTATTTTGGTAATAGACCTGCACTCTCACCTTCTTATAAAATTTAGTAATAGACCTGCACTCTCATCTGCTCTTATTAAATATAAGAGTAGAGCTAAGGGATCACACTTATTCCACTATAAACCTGGGCCATTATAGGTTGGATTAATCTTTAAGACAAATTTTGTAAAAATATCCTAAAGGAAACAGCATTTTACAATTCCGGAGCCTTTTGGGGGAGATGCTAAGAACCTCTTAGGTTATTCTTTGTTCTAAGTCTAAACTGAGAGAGCAAGCACTCCATCTAGTTCCTCTTTGCCCTTCACAAAGGCCATGCTAATTTTTGAATAGGTAGAAAGGTGTTGGTGATACCTAGCTTCCAGAATTTTATGAAATTGATTTTATTGAGTCAGTTCAGTGAGTTACTGTAATTGAAAATAATCCCCCTAATTATCTAGTTCAGTTCATTTACCTAATATATATTTTATTAGCAAATAATTTGTGATCTCCCAAGAGAATATATTTCCTAGCTTCATTGTTTTCTTATTAGATTTTAAATGAGTTCAAATGCTTCAGATGCTTGGACACTGTCAGGCCTCTGAGCCCAAACCAAGCCATCGCTTCCCCGGTGACTTGCACGTATACGCCCAGATGGCCTGAAGTAACTGAAGAACCACAAAAGAAGTGAATATGCCCTGCCCCACCTTAACTGATGACATTCCACCCCGAAAGAAGTGAAAATGGCCGGTCCGTGCCTTAAGTGATGACATTACCTTGTGAAAGTCCTTTTCCTGGCTCATCCTGGCTCAAAAAGCTCCCCCACTGAGCACCTTGCGACCCCCACTCCTGCCCGCCAGAGAACAACCCCCCTTTGACTATAATTTTCCTTTCCTTACCCAAATCTTATAAAATGGCCCCACCCCATCTCCCTTTGCTGACTCTCTTTTCGGATTCAGCCCGCCTGCACCCAGGTGATTAAAAGCTTTATTGCTCACACAAAGCCTGTTTGGTGGTCTCTTCACACGGACGCGCATGAAAGATACTACTGTCATACCTCTTCTTAAACTCTCCCTTGTCAAAAGCTATTTAATTTGTTATTTACATCTCCTCAACATTTTTCTTCCTCTTACTAGTTTTTGTCTTTTTCCTTTGATCATTCCTCTTTTGCAGAAGAGGCCTACTTGGAGTAGGATTCAGAGAGTATTTATAGCCCAAGGAAAGAAGGTATTCACCCACTTGGGACTGATATATGCCCTGGTTTCTTTCACTGGAGGACTTTCCCTAACATGTATGTCAAATTCTTCAGCTTACCCTGGCAGGACAGCCTTCAAGGAGGTCCCCACTCTGGCCTAAGGAGTGAACGTTGACAAAATGCGGAAGTTGGCTCTGACTATCACTTCTCTAAGTCTTGGTCCTTTGAGCCAAGAAGTGACTCATTTGCAAATGACTAGGTGTGACCAGGCAAGTTATATGTTATCTATGTCAACAAGCGCAATTACAACAGCTGCTATGACAAAGATGTAGTCTACACAACACAGCTATTTTTGCAGTCTTTAGACTATGCTTTCTTAATCTAGCACCTTTGAAATCATACAACTGACCTTTCACAAAGGGTATTTTCTAATTCCTGGTCTGGGTAATAATCACTCTTTACCATGAAGAACTGTATATAGTTGTGTGACCGCCTGCAACTGGAGGGGTAGGGGTGAGTGAAGCCTTTATCACTGCATTGTGTCCTAGCGAGTAGCAATTAGCCTCTTATCCCTTCCCTCTTCAAGTACAATTAAAGAACAAAAGAGTCAGACAGGAAGAGGTTGGAGGCCCATATGTAGGATGCTGCATTTACTTGCTAATCTACCTTTTAATCCAGCAAACTGAGAAAGTGCTTTCCCAAACCACAGACCCCTGAAGGCCCATTCCATCTCAATTAGTCCAGACCCATTACTCACAGATGAGGACAGAAGTTCAGAAAGGCGGGAAAGCTTCCACAAAATCCTAGAAATCTGGGGAGAGTGAGGTTTAGCACTTCGTTTTCACATTCTGAGACAAGAATTCTCACGGGAGGGATTTCAGATTTCTCCCAAGATCCTAAACCATGTTGGTCCTAGTTTGTTTTTAATGATGACTTTTTATATTATTGTTAAAGATGGATTTATTGTCTTGATTATTGGTACTACATATAAACACAGAAGAGTATAACAGTCTAGTTAATACTCAAAATTTTTTAAAAACCCTCAGTGGCTTGGATTTCCTTTGTTGATTTCTGGGAATAGTGCCACCCATGACAATGGATTGGAATCACTTTTCAAAATCCAGATGTTTCAGGGGCACAATTTGAGATTTGTTACAAGATATAAAGTGAAATTTGTGAATCCCCAATGATAACCAGATTAATAACTGCCTTGCTCATGCATTCAGCACATATTTACTGAGCATACATTAACTCCTCACCACAGCTCACCTGCACTTAGGAGGACCCCTAATTGCACCACAGAAAATTTAATAATGCCAGTCCTCCAACTGCCTTATCTCAACCAAGTTGACAGCACATTCTGCTAAACTTACTTTCCCACAACGATTCATCTGGAGAAAGGTGATTTTTGCTAACTTTCATTTTCTCCAAGCAGTGTGGGTGGAAAGAAAGCAAGCAAACTTTGTTTCATTGTAGAAAACCCACTGGTTTGACATCCATCAAGGAGTAATTTTCCTTTTTATTCTCAGAAACATCAGTTTCCTTTTTTTTTTTTTTTTTTGGAGACAGGGTCACACTCTGTCACCCTAGCTGGAGTGCAGTGGTGCAATCTTGGCTCACTGCAACCTCCGCTTCCCAGGTTCAAGCGATTCCCTGCCTCAGCCTCCAAAGTAGCTGGGATTACAGGCACAGGCCACCACACCTGGCTAATTATTTGTTGTATTTTTAGTAGAGATGGCGTTTCTCCATGTTGGCCAAGCTGGTCTCAAACTCCTGACCTCAAGTGATCTGCCCACCTCGGCCTCCCAAAGTGCTGGGATTATAGGTGTGAGCCGCTGTGCCCGGCCCCTTCCTCCTCTTTAATTTTCTAAAGTATAGGCTACTATTACCAAGAAATCCTAAATTGGGTGATGTGCACACTTTAAGTATTCTAATAGTTAACAATATTCCAAGACAGCTTCTTCATACTGTCCAGAATGCGATTATACACATTTGGATGTTTAATCTCCTGTTATGTAGAATCTTAGAGAAGCAGGGTTTCAGGCTTGCAGGGCAGAGTTTAAGCTTGCTGAAGGCTGGTAGCACTATAAAGAAAATTGGCTACCTGGAAATTTCCTCATTGCATAAAGGTTATAAATGCATCCTTTAAGAGGGACTGATTCTTAGTACAGCATAAAGGCAGTAGTCTATTTTGCATGGGATCAGCCTTGTTTGCAGTTTTGAATGACAGGTCCACAAACTGAAAAGTTTGGTTAATAAACCGTGAATCCCAACATCTCTTTATTAGCACTAAGAAGAGTCAAGTGATCTCAATTACATGGAACAGAGAATTGAGGCAATTATCCAATCATTCAAACCCAGAAAAAAAAAAATCTTTGGCTTGAATTATACAGAAAGTGCCTCAATTTCCTATTAAAACTTTAGAAGCCCAACTCTGACAAAAGTCTTTCCTTTCAAGATGTCTTAGGGGTAAAGCGAACAGAGTCGCCATCAGAGTATTGAGTTTTATAAGTTGTTAGTAGTTTCCAGGTCACTAACCACATTTTTTCCCCCAGGAAATGAATTCAGGAATTTCTTTGAACACTTAGCTCCATTGGAACAGTAGTCTAAGCTTCTTTTTATTCCCAGGCATGCATTCTTTATTGGAATAGTAAGACACCTTTGGAACAGGGGCAGGTATTGTTTTTTGTTCGGAAAAAGGGGTAAACAAATGGCACCAAAGGAAGGTAGAGGATGTTAATCTACAGCTCAAAGTTCTTATATAGTTTAGCAACTAAAATTCTAATGGTGGGTTATGTTTTCTTGGGATTCTATACACAGGTGGCATGTGGACAGCAGTTGGAAAGAGAAAGTACAGAAAGAAGTTAAAAGTATGCTAGAAAAAACAGTAAATGAAGAAATGACAGAGGTGCCAAAGCCAGGTGAAGTGAAGAGGTAAAGCAATAAACCCTTCAAAGACAAAGACAATCAGCGTTCAATTCTCTTGTCTTTGTTAGATGAAAGGTAGGCCACTCCTGTGTCCTCAAAATGGAGGGACATTTCAAGTACTAGAAGGTGCACTCTCCTGGTACCTTCCTAAGCCCAACCAGTTCTGAACCCTGCCCCCCACCTTCCCAGCAGTCCCAGCTCCAAGCCTGCAGCTTTGAAATGCAGGCCTTTGGAATGAACGGCAGGCCTGGACAGAACACATCCTGGAATCGCAGTCTATCGACTGGCATTGCCTGATGTTGTTTATGCTTGTATTTACCCAGGCTTCCATCCAGCCACATAAATTATAAATTCATCTATACACCCACTGGGGAATCCAACGCACACACGGCACAAAAGGGAGAATATGAAATATTTTCACAGGTAAATTAATACAGGATTTAAAGCTCTGGCTTACCTAGACATTAAAATGAGTAGAGGATGTAACTCTTGCTGTAAAAACTTCTTGTTTAAGTAGCCCTAGAATCACTTTTTTTTAGGCCTAATACCACTTTAGGAAATTTTTTTCAGCTGCTACATTTAGGTATCTAATGCCATCATAGAGCTCTCATAGCATTTTTGCAAACTATCTTTGCAATGCTTAAAAGAAACACTGAGATCAGGGGTCAGTAAAGTTTCCATCGAGTCCCATAAAGTAAATATTTGAGGCTTTATGGGCCATACAGTCTGTTTAGTATAAGACGCTGCAGCTGTAGCAGAAAACAGCCACAAGAAGATATATAAATAAATGTGTGGCCATGTTCCAATAGAACTTTACTTAAGGACACTGAAATTTGAATTTCAGATAATTTTCACATCATGAGATCTTCTTTTTTTTTTTCTAGCATTGTTACCTTGTGGGCCATACAAAACAAGCAGCTGGCTAGATCTGGCCATCAGCCCATAGTTTGCTGACCCCTGGTGTAGATGGTTGAAAGATGAATCTTGTTGCTGTCACAATAACCAAAGTGGTAGAGGGATCAGGGAAAGGCAGTGCAAGGAAAAAGGAGGCAATATTGTGAAGTTGCATTCATCACGGTTTTTTTTCTGTATCTTATGATGTTCTGGTATCTTATAAATTTTGCTGGCAGGGAAGAGACTCCCAGGACTAGCTAATTCTTGGAGACAGCAAAGGACTGAGCCCTGAGCATATCTAACTATTGTCAAGAACATAGCCGCAACCTTCCCCTTTATCTAACTTTCACACACCAAGCCAATATAGAAATTGCCCTAACTCACCCCAGGGGCTAGGTACCAAGCAAATGGAGACCGCCCCTCCAGCCCAGAGCCTGCTGGAATTATTCAGACTTGCCAATTGGAAACTGTTGGCCTTGCTCTGCCTTGCCTCCCTGCAGAAACCTCAGTCAAAGCCTATGCTTTCTTCTTGCTCCTGCTTCTGCCCCCGACCGACACCGGTGCTTCCCCTGTGGCCCTGCATGGCATGGCATGTGCCCTTTCTCTGGGGAAATTGAATAATATAAAGCTTTCAGTGGCACTGGCCTCTGTGTGTCATCACTCAGCTACCCCCATAAATTAAAATCTCAACAGGTATCATGAGGCAGAAGTGTCTTCCTACTCTGAGCGGGATCCCAGGACCAGCAGCATCAGCATTCCCTGAGCCTCATCCCAGACCGACAGAATCTGCATCTGCATGTAAAAAAGATTCCCGGGTAATTTGCAAGGATATTGAAGTTTGAGATGCTGTGGTGGTGTGGTTTAAAGCTTGAGGTCTGGAATTAGAAGGCCCATTTCAAGTATCTGTGCCTCTCATTAGCTATGTGGCCTTGTACAAGTTATTATTATTTCCACCCCTAATAGGTAGAGATGAATCTATGCTAAACACTTAGAAAATGCCTGGCAAATAATACTATCATTCTTTTTTAAAAAATAAATGCCCATGCACAAACTGTTAAGATAACTTCCTCAGATACATTCTTAGCCAGTCTCTTGAACTGATCCACTGTGATTATAGCCCATGCCCGCCCCCAACAATTCCACCCATAAAAGAAAAGAAAGACGCCACAACTCCTGGCCGCAGAGTGTAAAATATATTGATGGCTGTAAAGGGACAACTTGGGGATATTTTAGGTCTGCTGAGATGATGCACAGCATACATACATGCTCTAGTTTTTGGAACCATGTCATTAAGTTTTCAAATACATCTGTTTTGAACATGGTATTTTGTTTTTCTCATTAGCACGAATTACTACTCTACAGTTTCTTCTAGAGTAAATAAATATAATGGCTGTTTGCAGAGCGACTACAGACTTACTTAGATGTTTAACAAGGTGAACGATTTCACAATTAGATCAACCATTGAGTTAACAGCAAGGTGTTTTTCATCTGTTTTGTTTACTGCTATAGTGGGGACAGGTAACTTCTCCAATTTATTCTTTGTTGACATCTTTAGTTACCAACAGACTCCCAAAAGTAATGAAAAGTCGATTAAAAAGAAAATTGTAATTATGCCATGGGTTTTCCCAAGATCCTTAAAGTCAGCTCATTTAAATTTACAAGAGAAAAATAACAGGCATCATGGAAAACTAAGTAACAAAAAGCTATTGAAAAATACATCTGTGGAACACAGTGGTCAGTTGTAAACAGCTCAGAAGAGCAAAAAAAAAAAAAAAAAAAAAAAAAAAAAGTCCTTCTAGCATGTTAAGCAGTCCAATGACAAACTCTGCTTTTTATTTTCTTTCTAGTGGCTATTTTCCTACCACAGTGTTGAGCTTCATTATTATATTAAATAACTTATATGGGTAAAAAGGAGTTTGCTAACCAGCAGCCAACTCAAAACCTTGTAGGAGGAGGGAGGAGAAAAATTTACAACACAGCACATACTAAGGGGAAACAAAGTCTGCAGTCAGCTTCCAACCAGTCTTACCCCTCTCTGGCAATACTGATTGAGCTAAGGTTTGGGATCTAAACGGGGGGGTTTTAGATCCCCTCCCTCCACTCCTTTCTTCATTTAAGTTAACAAAAGAAACGTGGGCTTCCTCAGAGCCAGCACTCAGCTGGGCAAGTCCCATTAGCAGCAAATGTTCAACCAAATTAAAAAAAACACACACACACAAAAGAAAACTCCATCCAGGTGCAGAGCTGTGATTCACATGGAAATTCCAGGAGATGAATAATGTGCAGAGCCGGGATTTTTAGAGGATTCTTTCTCAAGTGTCTTCAGTGAACATTTCAGTCTCACAAAATCTGAGTCTATCTGTCAGCTGCAGGAAATAAGTTCTCCATCTGGTCTTGAGTGAGCTTGTGTGCTTTGCTGACCCGGGTGCTCCAATGACTGCAGGGTCTTCATGAGTGTTCGTGGTACGAGATGCCAGAAAACAAAGGCCAGCCCCTCCATGATCTGCAGGAAGCAGCAGCAGCAGCAGGCAGGCAGCTCCCATGTGTTAAACTCTGCCTAAGAGGCTCGACCTGAGTAATAAAAACAACACAACCTAAGACAGAATGTAACAGACTACTTGAACTAGGATGAAAATGCCTTGTGTAATACTAATTTTATCTTTCCTGTGTTTTAAGTTTGATTTTACAAAGTTAAACCAGGAAAAAAAAAATCAAGCTTTTAAGTCCTATTGGCTCTCTGGGAAAACTGCCAGTCACTTAAAAAACAAACATTTATTAATGGAGATGGCAAAAGCTTAAACAGATAAATCTATATCTTGCGTAGGTTTATATTATAACAAAAACAAAAAAAGCAAAGATCATTAATGATAAAGAGCTTTTAGGTACAGGTTATCACAGATAGATTTACTTGGTAGATATAAGCATCTTCACAACACATTCCATGAACACTGGGAGAGTTTAAACAATAGTTGACAATAAGGGTGTCTGCCGTCAGAGGTGTATCTGCCACTGATGAATCTACGTGTCTGCAATGAATGGCTCTAGGGCCACCAAGAAAAGCATCTATGTAAAAATATCTTACTGCCTTCAAAGCTAATGTATAAAAGTTTTCAGGTAGGTACAATGATTCCAGAATATAGTCAGCCCTCTCTATCTGTGGGTTTTGCACCTGTGGATTCAATCAACTGCAGATCAAAAATATTTGAAACAAAAAATATGGGTCTGTACTGAATATATACAGACTCTTTTTCTTGCCATTGTTCCCTAAGTAATATGGTATAACAACTATGTATATAGCATTTACATTATATTAGATATTGAAATTAATCTAGAGATGATTTATGGTACAACAACTATTTACATAGCATTTACATTATATTAGGTATTATAAGTAATCTAGAGATGACTTAAAGTATAAGAGAGGATGCATATGGCTATATTCAAGTATTATCTATTTATTATTTTGAGTTTACCCTAACAGGTTATGTGTTATTGAATCAGTAAGACTGATGGCCACAAGAAAAGAATATTTCTGAAAACAACAGCAACAGAAAGTTTCATTTTATTATACCAGGGACTAGAGCATCCTCAGATTTTGGTATCTGCAGGAGGTCCTGGAACCAATCCCCCATAAATACCAAGGGATGATTATGCTTAATCTTAGTATCCACTTAACGTATGTATTTTGTAAATTATAATAGCCTGTTTTATTTTGTTTTAACTTCTTCGTGGTTGCTATGCCTTGGCCAACACCTGCGATAACCCAGTACCATTCAATGACACTACAGGAGCATGGGCTGACGAGTAATAGAGAGCAAGACACTGTGTCCAGAGCTGGGGCAGACATTAGGGGAAGACCCTGTGCTTGCCCTCAAGGGGCTTACATAGCAATAGAGAAAACCACAAACACTACACAAAACCACATGGCTGGTAACGAGAGAGGAAGAGTGCCTCCTGAGTGTATGAGTTCTGGAGAAATTCTTTCTAGGGAAAAACGGGCCAGGGACGGGGGAGGCATTGGAGCTGGGCCATGAGAACAGACAGGATATGGAAAAGGCAGAGTGTGTGGCTTGAACACCAACACAGATGAGAGCTGTTCTTCAAAGCTCCTTAAAAAACAATTTTAACGTGGAAACTGTCTTTTATACCAAAGAATATAATTTTCATTTCAACCAATTGATACGGGAGTGCTGGGAGGGGAAGAGCACGGTCCCTTTAAATGATACGGAATGGGGAAGGGAAGTGCTGGGTAGAGAAAGGCAGGTCCCTGGCTAGGGCTCAACCCCCACGGACCTAGGTGAGGACAGACATTTCCTGCCCAAATGTTGCATTTCCCAAGACCACCCTGGCCCACCACGCCCCCATCTTGGGCCTATAAAAACCCGAGACCGCCGGCAGACAGACACACAAGTAGCTGGACGTGGTGAGGAACACATCTGCTGAAGAAGACGCAAGTGGCGAGTCGTCGAGAGGACATTGAGGGGAGCACACTGGTAGAAGGGCACGCCGGCAGGGCACACCGAAAGATGCCAGCACGCAGGACAGACTGGCGGGATGAGGCGGAGTTTGGCAGGGGCAGTCTGAGGAGCGGCTGGTCGTCGAGAGGACACTGAGGGGAGCACGCTGGCAGATGGGCACACCGACATACGCCAGCACACTGGCAGGCCACTTACTGGCGGGACGAGGCGAAGTTTGGCAGGCGCAGTCGGAGGAGAGCCTGGGCCACTGAGTGGCCCCACTCCAGTGTAAAAACATCTCCCTTTGGGCTCCCCCATAGGCGGAGAGCTACTTCCACTCAATAAAACTTTGCACTCTCACGCCTGTAATCCCAGCACTTTGAGAGGCTGAGGCGGGCGGATCACGAGGTCAGGAGATCGAGACTATCCTGGCTAACATGGTGAAACCCCGTCTGTACTAAAGATACAAAAAATTAGCCGGGCGTGGTGGCGGGCGCCTGTAGTCCCAGCTGCTTGGGAGGCTGAAGCAGGAGAATGGCGTGAACCCGGGAGGCGGAGCCTGCAGTGAGCCGAGATCCTCCCACTGCACTCCAGCCTGGGCGACAGAGAGAGACTTCGTCTCAAACAAACAAACAAACAAAAAGCTTTGCACTCATTTTCCAAGCCTATGTGCGACCCGATTCTTCCAGTACACCGAGGCAAGAATGCTGAGATACAGAAAGCCCTCTGTCCTTGCCATAAGGTAGAGGGTCTAATTGAGCCGGTTAACGCAAGCCACCTATAGATGGCAAAATAAGGGAGCGCCTTGTAATACAGGCCCACTGGGGCTTCAAGAGCTATAAACATTCACCCCTAGACACTGCCGTGGGGTCGGAGCCCCACAGCCTGCCCACTGGTATGCTCCTCTAGAGGTTTGAGCAGCAGGGCACTGAAGAAGGGAGCCACACCACACCCCCATCGCATGCCCTGGGAGGGGCACAAGGGAACTTTTCCCATTTCACAATCAAATGTTAGATGTCATATATTATGTGAACAGTACAGACGTGGGAAGACATTATACAGTTCAATCTTTAGCTTTTAAAGTCAAACCTTTGACTTATGAACCTTTCCAATCTAACCATTAGTTAATATGTCATAAAATAAAAAGAACTATAAAATAATTTTGTAGGTAGGTCTGGATTAATTTAAAATGTCTGGAGACCACAGGTAATGCAGATACCAGATATCATTTATGTGTAGCCAATCTGCTTACCAATTTTTAAAATAATCTACAAGAAAAGTAACAAAAGCTAAGCTATACCCAGAGACCCCACCAAACTTACTGTTTTTAAAAATACAGAAAGGAGGGATTAAAAAGGAGACATATGGAAGGCAAAATGTATCAAAAAAGGATAACTAAAAGGAGTAATTCTCAAATCTTTTATCCAGCAAGATATGCACTCTGAGGCTCATGTTTTGCACATGAATAATACTAAATAGCACAGTGAAATATTTTAATACAAACACAGAGTAATACAAAATTTTAATTGAAATGTGCCACTGCCAGGCACAAAATTATATATATTTTATATAATATATATATATATATAATTAGTCAATGCATTATTAGTTCTGTACATATATATATAGGCATCAGCCCAACAAGCCTGTTATATCCCATGGCTTTAGGCATTAGCCAAACCTTCTTTATGTTTGTGTCTGGGCATACAAGGAACATCTCCAATCCTTCACCAATTACTATGATATCCTAAGGATAAGAATTCCAATGCCTTCATACCTTATCCCTCATCACTGGGAGGTACAAAGAAGGCCTAAGCTTTCCTTTGAAACAAACACAACCACACAAAACCAAGTATATCTTAGATATCCTGGTTCATGAAATCTAGCCTAATATCAAGTATAATGAAGGCTCTCAAATGATTATGGGACCACAAAAATAAGAGAAAATGTGCTTGTAAACCCTAGTACAAAAAGGTATACATTCTGAGTTTCTCAGTAGGACTATAATGATAACAAGTTTGATTATATTATACCCTGGGCTGCTTTTGCCTATTAAAGTATCTCAAATGCTTAAAATACAAATTTAACCCTATTCTAGTTTTCTTCAAACATACTCATAGGATATCAAAAGTTGTAAATCTGAAAAATCTCCAGATTATGTTTAAAGTCCCAACTCTCTCAAACAAAGAGGGGACTGAGATCCACTTGGAAAGTGGCAAACCCAACTTTATAAAGCCTACTAGTACTTCTTTCTTTATCTCAGGTTAAATAAAATTTTAGTGTCAGAAGAACTCTTCAGAAATAAAGTCTGAACTTCTGATATTTTAGACAAAGTCAATGCATTTTTTTTAACATACTATGGCTCAGTTCCTCATTCTATTAAATAATGGGAGAGAAAAAGAACAGTCACTGTATATCTGCCAATATAAAAAAAATGAAAGACAATAAAGCAGAATGATGGTAGTGAGAATTCTGAGCCACAAAGATTTGGTGTACAAGAGATAAAGTGCAGAGGACTTGGAACAGATAGACAGCAGCTTCCTATAGAACGCATGTGGCTTTCTTCAAGGAAAGCCAATTTCCTTCAGACTTGTGCAGCAATGAGAAGAATGAGACCCACCTTAAAGACTTCCATCTGTCTTTCTCTATATGATTTTCAGGTCCTTCACTCTCATAAGAAGCCAAGTAGAGAGCTACAATCAAACAAAAGAAAGTGCATTAACATTAAAGCCTTCTCCTGATATATTATCTACCACCACCCTTGTTCGACTTGAGCCAAACTCCATAGCAAAATACTCTTCAAAATATCAAGTCATGACCAAGAAGCTTCACTGTTTCATGAAGAACACAGAATATCACTTTGCCTCTGACTGACCATCTCAATGAAAACCCAAGGGCTTCTAAGCCAAAAATGCACTTAATTACCTAAGAATGTATAAGGCAAAAAAAAGCTTATAAAATGTAAGCCATATGATGCTGTCGTATACTCAGACTTAATGTTCTTTACAAAGAAAGGGGTGGGAGTTCTTTCCTGGTAGTCTGAGTTGTTTTTTCCTTTTTTCTTTTTTTTAAAACTCTTTACTAGGTAAAAAGCCTAGGTAAAAATTTTCTAGACCAATTTTCCATTCTACTAATATTTTTCTTCCTTTTTAAATCAGAAAGACTCTTCATTTAAAAATTCAAAAGTTTGTTATTAGTCCTCTTTATAGAGATTAAAAACAAATCCCCTCTGGCATAGGTGATATTAATTAAAAATGTTCTCCTGGCTGGGTGTGGTGGCATAATCTCAGCAGTTTGAGAGGCTGTGGGCAGATCATGTGACCCAATAGTTGGAGACCAGCCTGGGCAACACAGAAAAACCCTGTCTCTACAAGAAAAAAAAAAAAAAAGAAAGAAAAAAATTAATCAGGCATGGTGGTGCACGCCCGTACTCCCAGCTATCTGGAAGGCTAAGGTGAGAGGATTGCTTGAGCCCAGGAGGTTGAGGCTGCAGTGAGCTGTGATCGTGCCACTGCGCTCCAGCCTGGGTGACAGAGTGAGTTGCTGTCTTAAAAAAAAAAAAAAAAGTCATTATTGTAAATACTATCAATCTACTATGAGAAACTGTTAATAGGTGCTATTAATTCCTGTAATATTAGGATATAACAAATCAATAAAATAAATCTCTAAGTATTTTATGAGCTCACTTCTGATGATTTTTTTCTGTATCTAATCTCTTTTTCTGCTTCAAATTCCCTAATGTTTTAACAGGTCAAAATGTTCCAGTACTTTTTTAAACGGCAGGGGGTAGCAATTTACTGTTTTTGTTATTTTTCTCCAAATTACACTGACTATCAACATACCACAAAACACCTTTTGTCTATTCAAGTAAGCTCAAGCAAGAAAAAAAAAATTCTTCAATAACCCCATTTGTGCCCATAGCTGTGCAAATCTGGTATTATAAAGAATACTTAAACACAGAAACCTACTGTTTATAGGTGAATATTAAGTGCAAATATTTTAGGGACAAATCATACATTTTCTGTGAAACAGAAAACTCTTAACATGGAACAGATCAGAGGACAGGCCTCATTACTATATGAGTAACCAAGCATTTCTATACTAATTTCCTAAATGAAGGATTTGGGGATGCTAGTGGTAGCTCCTATTGAATGGCCTTACCATCTTCACTGAAGACTGGTACTGTGAGCAGATACTGCAAGATCTTCCGGTCCCTCTCAAATGGACACTCCACTTGTTTCCATGTCATAAATTCACTCACTTGTTTGGCCAGTTCCCAAAATTTCTGGAAGATAAGTAAAAAAAGAATATAAAGGTGATCATAAAAAAATAATTATGAGTTTGGGAGAGGCAATACCATTTGAAATGATTCCTTCTTATTTTATTAAGGAGACAGGGTTTCACTCTGTCACCAAAGCTAGAGTGCAGTGGTGCAATCATAGCTCACTGCAACATCAAACTCCTGGGCTCGAGCAATCCTTCAGCCTCAGCCTCCCTGCTACTAGCAGGGACTACAGGTGCGAACCACCACGACTAGCTAATATTTTAATTTTTTGCAGAGACAGGGTCTCACTGTTGCCCACGCTGGTTTCAAACTCCTAGCCTCAAGCAATCCTCCCATCTTGGCCTCCTAACGCACTGGTATTACAGGCGTGAGCTACTGCAGCTACTTTCTGGTATTTAATCTTCTGAATTAAATAGTTTTCTTCATTTAATAAAACTCTATTTGTGAGGTAAAAAAATGTTCTCAAGTTCCCTCAGATAGTAATAATCATCATCATAATGGCTCAGCTATTCTCTTCTACTTGGTATTGTTAATTTCTAACAAAATAATATGGAAAGAGATAATTTGTTCTGAAACTGCAGAATTGGCTTTGGCTGCCTGGCCAGGAATGCGGTGCTGGAGAAGCTGCCCCTCTCCTTGTGCTTGGATTTTTGTATCCTACTTTATCACACTCACCTCAAAATTGACATGGCCATTGGGAAGGCGGTTGGCACAACCCTCATTGAGGAAATAAATATCTTTGATTAAGAGACTGAAGAATGGTATCACAATCTAGAGGAAACAAAAGATTCTGGTTGGTCTGGGCAAACAAATATTTAGCCTTTCATAAAAATACACAAGATTAATGAACAACATTAACTTTTGATTATATGAAAGGCCACAAAGAATTAAGGTACAGTGTTTTGTTTCTTACACAACAGCAATTTCTTCCCTTACATAATTTTGCTTATACTACAACTGCTATAACCAAAGCACAGCAAGGACAAGTAGCAATGGGAAGTGAATAGGTTAGTACTTTTATTACAATTTTTCCTATTTTTCTCATTGCAGTAGTATGCAATAAAATCTGAAAACTCTAGCTATTATGAAAGAAAAAATACCTAAAAGAACTCTTGCCTTTCACTTAGCAACCCCTTAGCAAAATGTTAATAGAATACCTATCATTGGGCCGGGCACGGTGGCTCACGCCTGTAATCCCAGCACTTTGGGAGGCCAAGGCGGGTGGATCATGAGGTCAGGAGATCAAGACCATCCTGGCTAACAAGGTGAAACCCCGTCTCTACTAAAAATACAAAAAATTAGCCAGGTGTGGTGGCGGGCGCCTGTAGTCCCAGCTACTCGGGAGGCTGAGGCAGGAGAATGGCGTGAACCCGGGAAGCGGAGCTTGCAGTGAGCCGAGATTGCGCCACTGCAGTCCGCAGTCCGGCCTGGGCGACAGAGCGAGACTCCCTCTCAAAAAAAAAAAAAAAAAAAAAGAATACCTATCATTGCAGGCACCGATTTTTTTTTTTTTTTTTTTTTTTGAGATGGAGTCTCGCTCTGTCACCCAGGCTGGAGTGCAGTAGTGCGATCTCTGCTCACTGCAAGCTCCACCTCCCCAGTTCATGCCATTCTCCTGCCTCAGCCTCCCGAGTAGCTGGGACTACAGGAACCCACCATCATGCCCGGCTAATTTTTTTTTTTTGTATTTTTTAGTAGAGACAGGGTTTCACCGTGTTAGCCAGGATGGTCTCGATCTCCTGACCTTGTGATCCGCCCGCCTTGGCCTCCCAAAGTGCTGGGATTACAGGCGTGAGCCAACGCGCCTGGCCTTTTTTTTTTTTTTTTTTTTTTTAAGAGACAGGTCTTTCTCTGTCACCCTGGCTGGAGTACGGTGGTGCAATCATGGCTTACTGCAGCCTTGAACTCCTAGGCTCAAGCAATCCTCTAGCCTCACCCTCCTATACCTGGGACTACAGGCACGTGCCACCACACCCAGTTAATTTTTAAAAATTTTGTGTAGAGATGGAGTCTCACTATGTTGCCCAGGCTAGTCTCTAACTCATGGGGGTCAAGCAATCCTCTTATCTCAGCCTCCCAAAGTGCCCAGATTACAGGCATGAGCCACCAAGCCCAGCCATGTACCAAGATTTTAAGATGCATGACCCATCTCCCTGCTAGAAGCTGTACTGCTTATTATTTAGACTTCTACATTTAAGATAAACTTTTTTTTTAGATAAACATTTTATTTCTTCTTGAAGACATTCCTCAAGATAATGTGAGAGTTCAGTTTAGAATAGTTGCTACAAACTTTCTATTGTAAACCTAGCCTGTGTATGATGAACAAGTTAGCACCTGCTCTCATAGGAAATCACCTAAGAAGTACCTTGCATAATATGTTTTGAGACAAATATGCCCCAGGTGAAGGAGGAAATATGAATGTATAAATTAAAATTAATAGCTGTTTAAAAACAATAAACCTTTAAAAATACTTTCCCATCTGAATTCTTTGGCTTGATGAGGTGGTATTTAATTAATTAACCTAAAGCAATAATCTCTCAGTAAGTACCCCAAATCATACTAAACCTACAAGAAACAGAGAAAAAGGCTCACATACAGTAATTTCCATTTTCTCTCAAATGTCAACATATTTTTAAAGATCCTAAATTTCCTACAATGTAAAAAATCCACTAAACACCGATCGTGGGCCTATCTTGTTTCCCCAAAGTCAGATCTTTTAAGTTCCCTAAGCTTATGACTCAGGTGGTACTTCTATATTGAGTGAACAGAAAACATACTTTTGGGCTCACACACAAAAATATTAAGTATCAATTCCCTTCTAAGGAAAAATTCAGATTTTCACCAAAGTCATTTAAAAAACAAGTTTTGATTATTTTTGTTTCATTGATTTCTGAAAATAACCAAAATGAATCTTCTGTTTTGATCTCTTTTGACATCTCACCTAAATATACTTTTAATCATTTGTTATTATCTCGGACAGTCTCTAAAGCCAAATTAGTAAAGATCTCATTACCTTTCCTTCTAACGTGATTAGCTATTTTCCATTATGTTAGAACTAAACAGCATAGTAACAATAGTAAAAGTACAACTGAACCTTGCTTCTCTGAAAGACTATTTGTGAATGGGAATGCTGGACTTTGGATGCTGCCAGACAACAGCAAAAAATTTCGCTTCAGAATTTCCTGGTGCTATAAGCTAGGAGTTGGCAAACTGTGGCCCTCAGGCCTCTTTTTTATTGCCTAGGAGTCACACATTTTACATTTGTTAAGTAGCTAAAAAATAAAAAAATAATAATATTTCAAGATGCATGAAAATTATATGAAATTCAAATGACAGTGGCCATTGAGTTTTACTGGAAGACAGCCATATTCATTCATCTTCATACTGTCTTCTGTGCTACTGTGTCTAAGGTGAATATGCACTTAGAGGATAATAAGGATACATCATCATAAGACAGCCCCAGGGAAATAAGAATAAAATTATAATCAAGATGTAATATTTGTATATTGTAGCAGCTTTTAAAAAAATAACTTTATTTTTGTGCTCTATTCTTTGGTGCTGAGCTGTGAGATTCATGCAGTGCTGATCATTTACTGTTTCTTATTGATATTTAAACTTCTCATAAATTCACGCCAGGTGCCTATAGCTGGATTATAAATTCTAGATGGCAGAGGCTATTACCTTACATGATTTTTGCATTCAGGGGTGCCTGCAAGATGCTCCACTATTGACTATCTCAATCACTCTTTCATAGAAATAGAAATAATCTTACTTAGGATATTTTACTGCTCTGTTCCTTATGCCTGCATGCAAGAAAGAAGCCTTGCAGGCTTCAACTTCTCATTTATTCATGGATAATTCCCTTCAGATCTGTAGCCCCTACACAAATCTAATATAGTGAAAATCAGATTATAAGGACTTCAGATTTCCATGAGCTAAGTGAATGTACACATTATTAGTAGGAGAAAGCAAAAGTTCATTTTCCTGAAGGTCTTGTCAATGATGTTTTTAGCAGGAGAACTTCTCAGGTAATAATATTTTCGAATTTCCTTTCAAAATATTCTTAATTCAGAGACCCAGCAACTGCACCATAAGGGTTTTGCCAGTTCCACACCTAGAAATGAATGCTGATAAATAGGACCAAGTAAGTTCACAGGAGCAGAATTGGAATGGCAAGAGGATTTAAAGCCATGTAATCATATGAGAAATGGTTAAAAACCTGGAGACACAGGTACCTACAGAAACAAAAAAAACAAACAGCTATTTAAAGAATATTTAAGGGCTGCTGTGTGGAAGACACATTTGGTTTGTTCTCTATTAGGTACCTAGAGATGTGCCACTCTGACCACACAAACTTGAGATTTAAAAGGATACAAAAGATTCACCATATTGGTCAGGCTGGTCTCGAACTCCTGACCTCAGGTGATCCACCCGCCTCAGCCTCCCAAAGTGCTGGGATTACAGGCGTGGGCCACCACGCCCGGCCAAGAATCCCAATTTTCTTGAATAAAAGGTAGATTTAACTAGAAATGCTTTCACTCCTAGCCTTTGAGCCCAACTGTAAAAAGAGATGGCATTTTTTTAAATGGCTGTGATTTTTTTGTTTAAATTTTAAGTTCTGGGATACGTGTGCACAACGTGCAGGTTTCTTACATAGGTATACATGTGTCATGGTGGTTTGCTGCACCTATCAACCCGTCATCTAGGTTTTAAGCCCCACATGCATTAGGTATTTGTCCTAATGCTCTCCCTCCCCTTGCCCCCCCAGCCCCCTACTGGCCCAAGTTATGTGTTGTCCCCTCCCTGTGTCCATGTGTTCTCATTGTTCAACTCCCACTTACGAGTGAGAACATGCAGTGTTTGGTTTTCTGTTCCTGTGTTAGTTTGCTGAGGATGATGGCTTCTAGCTTCATCTATGTCCCCACAAAGGACATGATCTCATTCCTTTTTATGGCTGCATAGTATTCCATGGTGTATATGTACCATATTTTCTTTATCCAGTCTATCATTGATGGGCATTTGGGTTGGAACCAACCCAAATGTTCCATGTCTTTGCTATTGTAAATACTGCTGCAGTAAACATATGTGTGCATGTGTCTTTACAGCAGAATGATTTATATTCCTTTGAGTATATACCCAGGAATGGGATTGCTGGGTCAAATGGTATTTCTGGTTCTAGATCCTTGACGAATTGCCACACTGTCTTCCATAATTATGTAAATTATGTTGAACTAATTTACTTTCCCAACAACAGTGTAAATGTGTTCCTATTTCTCCACAGCCTCGCCAGCATCTATTGTTTCTTGACTTTTTAATAATTGAATGGCTGTGATTTCATTTGTTTTATGAACTACAGAGTACAATTTATATGTTCACATAGAACCTGTTTAAAGCAAAACAAAACTAAAGCAGACATAATTTATTAAATGATGTGAAGGGTAAATACTTGGGACTTTTTGTAGAAAAAAACTTAGAATTCCACAACTGAGATATTTTGGAGGGATTGCACTTCAGAATTTCTTTGGCCAACAATGCAGCTCCCTACTCACAGATATGACTCCACAGCCTCCTCCCTGGGGCAGAGCCCACCAAGCCCTCACTGAAGCCCATGCAGAGAGAACCTTGCCTGCCCTGCAACACAGAGAAGGTGAATGAGGCCACATACAGCCCCTTCAGTGGGCTTACTTACTCTTCAGTGTACTGCAATCCTCCCACATGTGCTCACTGTTTGAAGCTTAAAAGACCTCATATTAGATTTTTTTCTCAATCTAATCACAAGAGTACTGGGATTGAGCAAGTAAAACTTAAAAGCTGGCAAACTCTGTCAGGCTACAGTAAGACTGTCATCTCTGCTTCATACCCCCTCTGATCTTATAAGTTTCTTTATTTAAATAAAAAATTTGAAGTATTTACAATATCCTTCAAACATTGTTAGAACTGATATTTCAGATCTGATTGAGAACCAAGTTCGCATTTATTAAAGGTGGGGTTTTGTGTTTATTTTTATTTCAGATCATTGAGGCCGAACCTTTTTCAGGGGACGTGATTGGGAAGCCATGAAATGTTTTTTACCTCATTTTCTTTTATTTGTGGAAGATATAGTTTAAGTTAAAAGACAGATGGAATCTAAACCGAAAATAACCTCCATCAAGCAACCTTCATTAACCCAGTTACCATAACTAAGTATTCACCTCTCAAATAACATGACTGCCAAATGTTGAAACAGCCTATCCTTCCTCTGTAAAGAAATATGACACCAAAATGTGCCAAGAAAGGACCCTCAGAATCAAGAATATGGTAGATGCAGGATGGTACTAACTTGTTTTAAGAGTAGGGTAGAGTGAGAAAGGACCATTAATTTCTCAGACATGACCCCTGTACTTTTTCTGCTACCCCCATAATCCAATTAGTAACAGCACACCTAATGCTATAGCAACTAACCCACTTTCTGAAAATAAATGACTTAACCATGGGAGGTAAGCTAATTCTTTTAAGAGAAAAGGTTATATTAAGTCGGCTACCTTGTGCAGAGCTTAAATGTCTATTTTCCATTAAACCATTAAACTAAATTACTCTCTAATGCTATGAGTCATCTTAACATATGACTTAATGTATTGCTTGAAACACAATTAAGAGGCACTACAGAGTAATTATTTAAGTAATGTAATAGTAACACAGCAATATCCAGTCTAACAAACTTTCTGGTAGCATTCTCCTTCTCTGTGTGTCAAGTGGTATCATTTCTAGAGTACACATGTCTCTCTCTTAAATCTTAACAAGTAAAAAAACTTCAGTGTCGTAGTTCACATAGCATTTCAGCATAAAACACAGCAACTCTACCATAAGAAAGATACTTCTTTAAGTGCATACCTTTTCTCTACTACTATGAGCAGTTAAAGACCTTTGTGCTGCCCCACGAAGAGCTGTTCGATAATTATAGAAATTGCTTGAAGGGTCCATCTGATGCTATAGATAAAAGAGAGAAGAATATTAACTATTTATTTATTGTAAACTTCTGTAGGAAGTTTATAAGATCACATATTTAGCTATATACAAAATTCAAAATAAGTTAGGAAACTCAGTAGGAATATGATTTATCCTTCTCATACACACAAATGCACATGACACAAGTGTTTTCTTTCCTGAGATTTGGTGTAATTATGCGAGCTGATGTCAGCTTCAATAATGTTAAACCTAAACCGCATTCTTTCTAGGCTAATTGTTGAGCTTAGATGTAAAACAAATAAGAGTCAAACACCAGCATCAGAAAAATTTCCTGTTTGCATCTGAAGGTCAACGGGCCCGTTGATGGTTAGCCATGCATAGTGATCCAACACTTTGTAGTGACAAATCATGCACAAATAATTGAAGCATATCATTTTGCAAGAAGGAAAATAAATGTATTAGGTTGTATGAATAGATCATAACATTATATATATAATGGTAATTTCCAATTTGGGAGAAAACTTGGGAGAGAACACTTTCTTATTGTCTCCAAAGATAGTAATTCGAAGCACTGATATACCAAGGTAGTACTGAGATGAATATGATTCAAATACACATACTCTTGCACGCGATTTTTTTTTTTTTTTTTTTGAGACAGGGTCTCACTTTGCCACCCAGGCTGTAGTGCAGTGGTGTGATCTTGGCTCACTACAGCTCCCACCTTCCAGGCTCAATCAATCCTCCTGCCTCAGCCCTGCAAGTAGCTGGGACTACAGGCACATGCCACCACACCTGGCTAATTTTTTGTATTTTTTATAGAGGTGGGGTTTCGCCATGTTGCCCAGGCTGGTCCTGAACTCCTGGGTTCAGGTGATCCTCCTGCCTCAGCCTCCCAAAGTGTTAGGATTACAGGCGTGAGCCACTGCGCCTGGCCCACAATTCTTACTATCCTCAGAATTGTATGGGAAGGGCTTTTTCACAGGTCAGCTAAATTTGTTGAAAGGATGATGAACAAATGTTACTGTAGGGATGGGGAACCCTTCCCCTGAGACACTGAAGATAAATGAAGCTAATAGGCTCACAGTGAAGTAAAACTCTCAACTGCTCAGGACCAAAATTCCATTCTGACATATAAGGTGATGTGACTGACAGGTCACTATTTCCCCAGTCAATTAACCCCAGAATGGACATCTCTACCTATAAAGCAACCAGTACATAACCTGATTTATTTTCCCCTCCAATTCTACCCACTTTCCTTTCCCTGGGTCTGTAAAGATAGATGGGCTTTTTCCTCTGTCGTAGTCTGATGGAGAGGCAAGACCACATAAAGGAATTCCACTTTCCAGGTGTAAAGTGTTACTTAACAGCAAAACATCAGCTTCACATACCTCAAGAATGTCAAATTTTGCAGTCTTCACTTTGGCCCAAGTTTTTTTTAGTCGAGAGACTGGGCTCATATTCATACCAGCTTCCCATTTGAAATGGAGGGGGAGAAAAAAGGAAAATTGAAAGAGAGAAATAAGAAAAACGATAAACACATACTTCTAAAATACTTTCATTACTAAGTGAGAATTCTAAAATTAGTAAGTAACAAACTCCAATTTTATAACTTTTTTTGTTTGCAAATTCTGAGTTGAGAAACAGCATAAATGCTATCACTGACTCTGTGCAGAGGTGAATACATTTTCTCTATGAAGGGAAAGAGAGTAAGCATTTTAGGCTTTCAGCCCATATGGTCTGTGTCATCACTACAAGACACTATCACTGTCATGCAAAAACAGCCACCATCCAGTTATGTAGATAACTACATAAACAAATGGTTATGGTTGTGTTCCAGTAAAACTTTGTTTATGTACACTGAAATCTGAATTTATATTACAGTCACATGTTAGAAATGTTAGTATTATTATTTTCATTTTTTTCAATCATTTAAAAAGATAAAAACCATTCTTAGCTCACTGGTCATAAAGAAACCAGTGACGGACCATATTTGACCCACGGGTCATAGTTTGCTGACCTTTGACCTAGAAACTAATGTGTCAAACACGCTTTGCGTGTACTATCTCATACATCCCCTCAACATTCTTAAAAGAATATGCTAAAGTTCCAGGGAGTAAGAAATTTTCCCAAGGATATCCAGTTAACAAGTAACAGAGATGGAAGCTCACATGGAGCTAACACCATAACCCACACTCATTCCAACAAGCCATGCTGCCTCTCCTGAATGATACTTTACGTACTATAACTATTCAGAAAAATATTACAGTGGCTGTTGTACAGAAAAGGAACCCATGCCAGCCTAAATGAGTACGTATATTAATTCCATGCCACCAACATTCATATTTTAAGGACCAGAAGTGGGAGATTGCTTCCTAACTGAGGTACAATTTACATACAAAAAATACACAGATCTTAAACACATAATTAGATGAATTTTGACTAATGTGTAAGTCCATGTATTACCACTCCAATCAAGATATAGTAGCACATTTCATGACCCCAGAAAGCTCCTTTGGACCCTCTTTGGTCACCTCCCCACCACCACAGAAATCAGAACAGTGGCTGCCTAAAACCAGAGATTCGTTTTGTCTGTCCTAGAACTTCGTATCAATGAAATCATACTGTATCCACTCTTGTGTCTGTCTTATTTTGCACAACATAATGATTCTAAAATTAATCCATGTTACTTATATGTATCAATTGTTCATTTTTATTGCCAAACAGTATTTCATTGTATTAACATGCCACAATTTATTTAGCCATTCATTTGTAAATGGGCATTTGGATTGTTTCCAGTCTTGGGCAATTATGAATAAAGCTGTGTTCTTTTACAAATCTTTCTGTGGACATGTGTTGGCATTTTCATGGAGTAAATATGTAGGTGTGTGCAATCTCTGCATTGCAGGGTAGAAATATGTTTAACCTTATAAGAAATTGCTGAACAGTTTTCCAAAGTAGTAGTACCATTTTATACTCCTGCCAATAATGTACAATAAGAGCCCCACTTGTTCCACATCTTCAACACTATTTGGTGTAACCAGTTTTTAAAATTCCAGTCATTCTAGTGTATGCAATGGTATTAATATTTTGCTGCAATTTAATTTGTATTTCTCTGATGACTAATGATGTGGAACACCATTTCAGATACTCGTTAGCCATTAATATACAGTATCCTCTCGCATGACAAATCTGTTTCAGTCTTTTGGCCTTTTTTTTTACTGGGTTATTTGTCTTTTCATTGATTTGTAGGGTTCTTTGTAGATTCTGGATACAAGTTATTTGTCAGCTCTATGTATTACATACATTTTCTCCGATGCTATGGCTTGCCTTGACATTTTCTTACTAGTAGAAGAGGCAAATTAAGTAATCTATTATCTAGACTGTGGGCCTTTCAGTCCCTGATTCAGATAATCTTTCTGTTTGCTATTTTCACAGAGTTAGTCAGAAAAATAATAAGCTGAGACTTGGCCAGTATTTTTTATGGGGGGAGAGAAAGAGGAAATGATATGTAAACAAAATGGAAAAATAAATTGGTGGAAGGGAGAATTTATTAGATTAAGATTCTTGAACTAAATTTGGTAGACTCTCTAGCTTCAAACTGATCCTTCGAAAAGACCTCAACTCTCTTCTTCTTCTTCCTTTTTTTTTAGACGGAGTCTCCCTCTGTCGCCAGGCTAGAATGCAGTGGCATGATTTCAGCTCGCTGCAACCTCCGACTCCTTGGTTCAAGCGATTCTCTTGCCTCAGCCTCCTGAGTGGCTGGGATTACAGGCATGTGCCACCATGCCCAGCTAATTTTTGTATTTTTAGTAGATACAGGGTTTCACCATGTTGGCCAGGGTGGTCTCGATCTCCTGACTTTGTGATCCACCCGCCTTGCCTCCCAAAGTGCTGGGATTACAGGCGTGAGCCACTGTGCCCAGCCTATTCTTCTATTCAAATGTTTATTGAGCACCTACAAATTTATAAGATGGCCATATAATTGATCATACAAACTAGGACACTTTTTAATGAAAGAGCTACTATCAAAAGCTATTATCAATAATTAAGGCAAGACAACAAGTATAAATTGGAACAACCAAGACATATTGTTACCATACATATTTATAGAATGAAAGGAAAGAAACATGGTCTCTGATGTTAAAACCTCCATGATATAGAGGAGTGAGTTTGTATACTAGAGTAATAAGGTCTGTGGGTGATAAGTACTAGAAGCCTGAACAGTTAGAAAATGTACCAGTTTCTTAGGCCACTCTCTTGTCCAAGGAATCAGATAACTTAGTCTTGGATCATTATTTCTATAATACTTGATATGCAAGCTGCCAAAATACTTTTTAAAACTCTTTATGTAGACAAATATCTTATGTATAAGCCTTTGTAGATGAATATTTAGCTAAGGTTAACTTAAAACATTCCAACAATTCTTGCATACTTAAGAAAGATTACACACATACTTGCACTCATTTGGCTATTTAAAGCATTTTGGGCATTCTCAAATAACTCTGGATTAAAAAATACAGTCTGTACTAACAAAACCATACTATTTGCACATTTTCTGTGGGTCATTTTACAGGATTCGTAAAGATAAACGACATGTATCCTCCACAAAATACTCACAGATTATCGCCATCAAGGAGTTGAAGTTGCCAATGTTAAAACACTCCCGAGCTACGTCAATGAAATACTCAATCATTCTTGCTCGGTGTTTTTTCTTAACAGGCTACACAGTAAAAGACAATAGAGGGCAGTTATCCAGTATGAAGGCCCAACAGTTCTAAAATAAGTATGAAAAAATAATGTTGAGAACTAGGAGACAGAAAATTCATTTCCTCACCATACAGATTTCTGTAGCAACCAAGTAGCTGAGGCGATTAAACCATTCCACGTAAGCTTCTAAGTTTCGTGTTTTCTTCCGTTCACTGTAGCAACTCTTTAGAGAAAACAAAGTAAACAGATGAGTTAGAGGAAAAAAACAATGTAGTGGACTCTCATTTTGTGAAATACGAGCCTTTAGTCTCAGTTTATGGATTAGGAAAGCTTTTGAGAACAACAGAAAGAGAGAGAGAAAGACAACCACTGGCATTCTTGATTATCCTTACAGAAATATCAAAGTCCTTTAGGATAGTCCAGTGAAACACTTGAGGCCTAGAAATGTACTCTGATGCATTTATAAAAGTGTCCTTAGGCCGGGCGTGGTGGCTCACGCCTGTAATCCCAACACTTTGGGAGGCTGAGGTGGGTGGATCACCAGAGGTCAGGAGTTCGAGATCAGCCTGGCTAACATGGTGAAACCCCGTCTCTACTAAATATACAAAAAATTAGCTGGGCATGGTGGCAGGTGCCTGTAATCCCAGCTACTTGGGAGGCTGAAGCAGGAAAATCGCTTGAACCCGGGAGGAGGTTGTAGTGAACCGGGATCGTGCCACTGCACTCTAGCGTGGGTGGCAGAGTGAGATTCGGCCTCCAAAGAAAAAGTGTCCCTACCCCTCTTCCCAAGATACTAAGTTAGTCTGGATTGTATCTTCAGAAACACAATTCAGAGGAAGAATTCTGGCTGCATTCCAAAACAATCCCGACTCAGATAGAGTGCAAATACCAACTGCTATAATCGATACAGCAAAAAATGGCTAAGAGTACAGAGGAGTAGAACATTTTCTCTTAAAATTAAGCATAGGACAAAATTTTAGAACATAATGTTGCAACAAACTAAGTATCTCCCAAGTAGATAAACAGAAGTCTACACCATCATGGTCTTTAGTAGGGTGAGTAACACATTGTTCAAAGGCAAAAAAGTTAATCTCATCTTGAAGTTCAAGGCCAGCTTGAAGAGGCTAATTACACCCCTCTTTCCTTCCTTCCAAAAGAAAGAGACAAACAAAGAGTCCACTAGCCTTCTACTGCAAAACAAATTCTTCACTTCCTGTATTAGGAGACACTATTCTAAGGCCGGAAAGCAGCTGTTGCCCCCACTCTCAGAAGGGGGCTTTCAGCAGTGTGTGTTGTAGTCTTTGCCTAACAATTCAAAATGCTTCCAGGTCACTGGGAGATAAAAAATTTTCTTATATGTGTACACTGATTTGACAGTCCCTGCCCAGCATTATTTTCTTTAATAGTGGGCTGCACCTAGGCAATAAACCTCTCATGAGAGATTCACCTTAAAACAAGAGGCAAAGTAGTCAAGCCCCTTGCTCAGCAAGCTGGATGTGCATCCTGTCTTTCCTGCCCCTGCTATTGTTGAATTATGGGCAGAACCTTCTCTCTTAGCAGATTCTTAATCTGCTAAAACCATTATGCTTTCGTCTCCTATTTTCATCACCACAAATGCCTGCATCTACTTGCTGTAAAGGTCTTACTAAATTTCCCAATAAGGAGGAAGAAAAGGCTACAAGTTAGTGATGGGGCAATATTATAAAGGAGCTTGGAGACCTCGCTCAAGAAAACTGCCATGAATCAGACGTGGCTGATGGAAAAAAAAAATTCTGATTTTAAAATCTACAACAGAATATAGTTCTAACTTCCGTCCTTTATACCCACTATCATAGACTGATAAATCCCATTTTTGGTTTCAGTGCTGACCTTTGGGTAGACTGATTACCTTGTCATTATCCAAAGGGTCCTTCTGCACGAACGCCTGAACAAATTCTTCTGGCCCAATATAATTGAGCCTCTCCTGAAACACAAACCCAGAAGGTCAACAGTATTAAAGAAAATGAAAAGAAATGGACTGTCAACTCCCTCTATGACTATTGGCACCACCCCCCATTTTTTAATGAAGATTATAAAATAAACCTTTAGCCCTAAATAATTTCATCATCTTCAAGGTCTGTGCGGAGGCAATTTTCTGCTTGGGTCAATGTTCCACAAGATAGTGAAAGGCTGAGCAGGTTTTGGAAAAACTGATTAGAGGCGGAAGGTGAGGAAAGTCAATAAACTCTTTGCTCTTCAGCCTTGTTTAGTATTTATTTACAAGTGAATCCCCAGAATATCAGAAGCATTCATATTCAAATCCATAAACAAAGTATGTTTCAGCTATCTCAGATGATTTCCCACTTGGATTATTCTGACCTCTCCTGTGACATTACCGCTGACAAATATATCGTCTGGTTGCCAAAGCAAAGCAAATCTGTGGTTGTAAAGGGCAATGATGATAACGGCCTTACCAGCTCTATATGAGTCAGCTGCTGGGCCAACGTGTAAGGGTCGTTGCAGACAGTAATGATATCCCTTTGTATAGACTGTGGCTTGGTCTTGAGAACTGTGAGCCGATCTGTGGATGTGGAGCTGATTTTTGCCAGGACTTCTTCGTACTGGCTGAGCGCAGCAAGCTTGCGGATCAGACACTGCATCATTTGCTGGACATTCTTTCTGTATGTCTGCTAGGGAATAAGCGAAGAATTACATCCGTACTCTGCGTGTCTGGTTTTGCCACTAGGCAAACTCAGAGACTGTGTCCTCAAATGATTTTACCTGGACATTGGAGAATAAACTTGGTTAAGGGCAGTTACGGGAAGATTCAGCTAGCTCTAACAGTTTGAGACACATGCATAAGGCATTTTCAAACCTGTAAGGTTTAGTTCTTCTTTGGGGTTGCGACTGAGAGTACAGTTCAGGTTGGGCCATGAAAACACTCCCGTGACAATTTAGATTACATCTTGAGGGAATCCAGTATAATGAGTACTAAGTATAACTGAATGTCCTCTGTTCCAGCAAAGAAATATACCTACCAGTTTACTTCTGGTGGGTTGAAATACATTGATCGCAAGTCAATGCATCCTTTTCCTAAGGCTTTTTCTTTAGGGCCACCTTCTTGATTTCTCTAGTCCTATCAATCTCATCAGTCTGGCTACCTAACAGAAATATACCATTGCTTCCAACTCACCCCCTCGAACCACCTTCTTTTGTTTTGTTTTGTTTTGTTTTCTTTGAGATGGAGTCTCATTCTGTTGCCTAGGCTGGAGTGCAGTGACGTGATCTTGTCTCACTATAACCTCCGCCTCCCAGGTTCAAGCGATTCACCTGCCTCAGCCTCCCGAGTAGCTGGGATTACAGGCATGTGCCACCATGCCTGGCTAATTTTTGTATTTTTGTAGAGATGGGGTTTCACTATGTTGGCCAGGCTGGTCTCGAACTCCTGACCTTGTGATCCGCCTGCCTCAGCCTCCCAAAGTGCGGGGATTACAGGCATAAGCCACCGCGTCTGGCCTACCACCTTCTTGACTTACACATAAAATGTGCATTACCATGAGGAAGCAGTGGATATTCATTTCTGGCATCTGACCTCCACTGGGCTCATAATCATTTCTTTTGCATTCATGACTCACTATTAATGTTCACGACCAAACTCTTCCACATGGCAATTCTCCCTGCAACACTACTCCCAGGTGCCACTTTGTTTGCTACTTCATTATGCTACAGCCTCATGCTTAAGAGAAACTAGTTTAAAAAAGCACTGCATGTAGTTTAGATAACTGTCAACCTCCTGACTTTTAAAACATTTGTTAAATCAAGAAATGACTTCATAATCCATCAATCCCAGGGCACAGCTATGATATAAGTTGCAGAGTCCATTCAGTCTTCCTTTTCTAGCCAAAAATTTCCAAAATAATATTCTTCTAGGTAAATTATGATGCCTGTATCAGAGAAAGGCACACAGGCTGATTCAATGCTAACATGGTCCTTAGGTTAAATCTCCAAAGGAGGATATCCCCAGTAAACCTACAGATGTAGAAAGGCCTATGTTTATGGCTCCATTGGCTTTTAAAAAAATACCACAATATCATTTGCTGAGATTAATTATCTGAAAATTAAGTGGCATTTACCTACAAGTATAAGACCCATAGTTTTTTTATAGAGGCAATTTTGTTTATTAGAGTATATTACAAAAACCCAAACGAAGAGATATTTGCTTATGAGGAGAATGACAACATATCTAGAAATGGTTAACTCTTGCATAGTCAAGGTGTAAAAAGCATACACAGCCTTCTTTTCCTTTTCTTCTCTATTTGTTAGTGTATATTCTGCTGAGTTCTTTAAACTGGTCCATTAGATGACCCCTATTTTTCTCTATAGTCATGGATCACCCTAAAATCACTAATGAAACATCTATGTATTTAAAAATTGAACAGACAAAAATCCCACCTTCCATACAGCACTAAGGTTATCAGTTTAGAAAATGCTATTTGGTAATATGTTTGTCACTCAAGGGAAATGTCTTTTTTTTGGAATTCAAAGCTGTTCAAGGATGAGTTGAGGGTTATTTTAAATCTCTCATTCCTATTTCCCCCTCCTCTTTTAATTTTATAAACTTGAGTTACAGTAAAAATCTATGGCCAGGCATAGTGGCTCACATCTGTAATCCCAGCACTTTGGGAGGCTGAGGCAAGAGGATCCCTTGAGCCCAGGAGATCGAGACAACATAGTGAGACCCTGTCTCTACAAAAACTTATTTATATATTGATTGACTGATTGACTGACTGAGACAGAGTCTCACTCTGTTGCCCAGGCTGGAGTGTAGTGGTGTGATCTCAGCTCACTGCCACCTCCACCTCCCAGGTTCAAGCGATTCTCGTGCCTCAGCCTCCTGAATAGCTGGGATTACAAGTGTGTGCCACCATACCCAGCTAATTTGTTGTTGTTGTTGTTGTTGATGCCTTTTGTTTGTTTTTGTTTTTGTTTTAGTAGAGATGGGGTTTTGCCATGTTAGCAAGGATGGTCTCGAACTCCTGACCTCAAGTGATCTGCCCACCTCAGCCTCCCAAGATGCTGGGATTATTAAGTATGAGCCACCGTACCCAGCCTCTACAAAAATTTAAAAATTAGCCGGACACCTGCAGTCCCAGTTAGTTGGGGGGAACAGAGGTGGGAGGATTGCTTGAGCCAGGGAGGTTGACGCTATGGTAAGCCCTGATCATGCCACAGCACTCCAGCCTGGGTAACAAAGTGAGAATCTGTCTCAAAAAACAAAGCAAACAAACAAACAAAATCTACCAACTTAAAATGTTTTATTCAGTCCTTTGTCCAAAATGTCATAACAAATGACTACATGAGAGTTAGATACTACTTCTAATAATTATGCAAATATTTCCCAGTGTATTACTCAGAATGGCTAATAAACACCTTCTTGGAGATACTTAATTACAGCATATACTATCCAGGGTAGAATCGCTTCTCACCCTTTTGGCTAAGATCAAGTGCAGAGTAGAAAATACATGTTACAAAGTTGAAGTTTCACAGTCAGTAAAGCCTGTTTACAAGAGCAACCCACAACTATATGTTACTACTTTACTAAACAGAGTTTGATATGAAGAAGGGACTTAATCTTCTTTGCTAAGTCTTTCTCAGAAAACGCCTGAGTTTTCAGTATAAACAAATTTAACTTGTTTGTGTCCAATAGAATAGTTTTTAAAAAGAAAAAGAAACATGGCCCAATCACATACTGGACTACTGTATAGCAGCTGAAAGAAGATACAGCTACCTACATTGACATGGAAGGGTTTCCAAGACATAACACAGAGAAAACAAGCAGGGTGATGAATACTAGGTAAACATACATGGAAACAAAAGCCATACACACTACTTTCTGTGAACACCTGTATACATAGGAGCAGCGCCGGAAGGATACACACAAAATTGACAACACTTGTTACCTTTAAGAGAGAAGCTGGATTGAATGGAGTTTTTTGGCCTCTTTTGCTTTGTATGAATTCTTTTTAAACAAAATCTAAGTGAATATATTCCTATATTACTTGATATATTAAAAATAAAATGTTTTAAAATTTTCCCACAGAATGGGATTTTTTGGATAACACAGGCATGAGACATGCACAAGAAAGTTCTTTTCACTTAAAAAAGCCAACAACTCATTTAAAAATATTTATTATTCTATGCCTCAGCTGCTATTCCATGCATGTTATCATTCCTACATCATGCACCTTCTCCTCACCCCTTCCCGGGATCCCTGCAGAAAATACTTTAGTAAGAAATTACCACTTCTATTCAGGGTACCACACAAGGGTACCTGCTGGGAAGCAATGAGCAGAACCGCTGAATGGGGGCAGCCTGGGTTCCACCCCAGAGATTCTGATCGACTTGGTCTGCAGTGCACTTGTGTCACATGCTCTGGATGCTCCTCAGCTGATCCTTGTATAAGCCAAGTGTGAGAAGCAATGCTTTACCAGCATATCTGCTGAAAGATTTTTATTTTGCAATTCTTTTTTCTTGAGGCGGAGTTTCACTCTTGTTGCCCAGGCTGGAGTGCAATGGCACGATCTTGGCTCACCACAATTTCTGCCTCCCGGGTTCAAGCAATTCTCCTGCCTCAGCCTCCCAAGTAGCTGGGATTATAGGCATGCACCACCACACCTGGCTAATTGTGTATCTTTGGTAGAAATGGGGTTTCTCCATGGTGGTCAGGCTGGTCTTGAACTCCCGACTTCAGGTGATCTGCCTGCTTCAGCCTCCCAAAGTGCTGGGATTACAGGCATGAGCCACCGCACCCAGCCTATTCCGCAATTTTAGAAAAATTTACTGGGGGAAGAGGCAGAGGAATGTATAATCAGGTTGTTAGCAAAAAACTGCATCAAAATATAAGGGAAAAATGTATGCAATAGAGTATGGGGGAAAGCTATTCAACAACAACTAGTGTGTGAGCATGTGAGAGAGTGTATGTATATGACCTCTTTTAAAAGTTTCCTGCTGCCAGTTGATTCCATTTGAGAAATCAAGCTTTGTGTTGTTAAGCATGGTTCCTCACTGAGTCATGAATTACTAAATATGTACTTATTCTTTTTTATAACTTCAAATGCCAGTGACAGTAATTACCTGGCAAATAAAGATAGAAGCTCTTATTATAAAGACCAGCCCCTTAAGGAAGAGAAAATTGCATTCTACTCACTACAGTCATTTGTCATGTAATTCAATCATTAGTTTCATTTCATGTTTCTTGCAGGCAAGTCCTAATAAACCACTTCATTTTGGGCAAATCCCCAGGGGAGAAACATATTATGCCAAATTATGTAGAACTGTCCTGGTAGATTCAGAAGAACCTGACTAAATTATATATACGGCACACCTGGATTCACTGACTGCCAAAAGGAGAAAAAAAAAAAAAAAAGTCCCAGGCAAGAAGCAACAAATCCCAACCCAGACCCATATTCCTTCCAATAGAGGGAAATAATTTTTCCCTATTCCAGTAATTCATTTGTTCATTCATTCATTGATTGACTCATTCATTCAAACACTACTGAGAGAATACTAGGTGCCAGGTACTGAGCTAGGAGTTAAGGATGCCGTGGTGAACAAAGAGGGCACAGCATGGGGTCTAGAGGGGAAAACAAGCAATAAAAATGCAAGTACAGTCATCCCTCAGTATCCTCGGGAGATTGGTTCCAGGACTTCCCTGGGATTCTAAAATCTGCAGATGGTCAAGTCTCCGCTCTAAGATGGTACAGTATTTTCATACAACATCCGCACATCCTCCTGTATACTTTAAATCATCTCTACATTACTTATAATAGCTAACGCAACGTAAATGCTATGTAAATCACTGTGATACTGTATTGTTTAGGGAATAATGACAAGGAAAAAAAGTCTATATGTGTTCAGTACAGACTTAATATTTTTTGAATATTTTCAATCTGAGGTTGGTTGAACCCATGGATGCAGATCCCACAAATACAGAGAGAGGGCCAGCTATCATTACTCATCACAGAGTGCTAAGAATGACTATGAAGGGAAGAGCAGTGAAAGCCCATAATGGGAGGGGGTATGATCATAGTTGGGTGCCAAGGGAAGGTCTCTCTGAGGAGAGCCACCTAAGCACGTGACTGATAAGGAGCCTGAAGCCAAAGAACTGGAGGAAGGACATCGATCACACAGTTTCAGAGCTGAAAGGGCATTAACACAAGGCAGTTACTTCTGTGATTTATAGAGATGAGAAAGGAGCAAGGATTTAGAGGACTAGCCAAAACACACTCAGATAAACCAGCTGGCAAGTGTGGATTTGAATTCTGAATACTGAATAGAAGCAGCTAAAGAAACAACATCTCCCTGTGAAACCCAACCCGATCAAGGCAGGTGACATCTCTCCACTCAACCCTTAGTTTAATCAATTCCTCAGTTAGAACTGGCTTGTCTTCTTATCTCCTCTTTTCATGCTCAAAACCATCTGAACTTCGCAAGGTTTCTATCAAGAATATGTTATTAACCCAGGAGTGTTGAAAAGAAGCCAGGGTCACAAGGCTGTTTGGCCCTTCTCTCTGTTCTACCCAGCTCTCGAATGGCTTGATTCTGTTAAACAAAAAGACCAATTCTCATCAGGTAAACACAAATAAAAATGATCTCCCCTTTGACTGCCGCAACAACAAGGACCATCCATTTGGTATTTTCAAAATGCCAACATTTTATCTTAAAAGAAAAAGATTTTTAAGGTGTTTCTTTTGGAAAGAACTAAGTTATAAAGGCAATAGAGGGAAGATAAGATGACTGACATATAATGTTAAGTAGCTAAAGACAACCAAACTGAAATGAAAACTGTTTGACTTAGGTCTCAGCCTTCATACAAGAAAAAGCCCTTATGATGTCACTGATCTTTTGAGCAGCTTCAGATACATAAACCAAGGTCACTGAGCCAGCACTGACCCTGCCAAGGAACTCCACGGCTAACCCCTCTAACATAAGATTTACTACAAAACTGCACCATGATGCTTAACTTTTGCCTTTGTAAGCAAGGGACCTATCAATTCATACCTGGCTAGAACCTGTAAGAGGCAAACTGGCAAAATGATTATAACCGTCATAACTTGCACAGTGACTCAGGAAATGACTCATTCGGCCCGGCAGAAATAATGGCTGTCTCGAGCACTTGGGTTCATCATAATATAATGTCAAAAAGTAACAGTAAAATGGTTAATCCCATTTTCATGAGAACATAATACAGGAAAGCCCATACAAATTTTTCAAAAGCTAGCCTTACATAATTTTAGTCTGATTTTGTAAAATTGGGATAAATGGCATTAAAATGTTTATATCTATTAAGATGCCACTTATTATCATCTAACTAGCTGTGTCAAACCTTTTTGGAAGTAAAAAGGTATAAGTAAAGTAAAATTAAAACACACTTGCAACATAAATCCTGTGCATGAGCTGACATGAACATAGCCCCAAAGTTCTTCAGATGAAGGTTTTTAAATTTTTCACTTAATTCCCTCAACAATTAATATACTTCCCCTTTTCTCACAAAAAATTGCGGCTGGGTGCAGTGACTCACACCTGTAATTCCAGCACTTTGGGAGGCCAAGGCCAGTGGATTGCTTGAGCCCAAAAGTTGGAGACCAGCCTGGGCAACATAGTGAGGCTTTGTCTCTACAAAAAATAGAAAAAACGAGCCAGGCACAGTTGCATGCACCTGTAGTCCCAGCTACTAGGGAAGCTGAGGTGGGAGGATTGATTAAGCCAGAGAAGTCAAGGATGCAGTGAGCCATGATCGCAACTCTACACTCTAGCCTGAGGAACAGAGCAAGGCTCTGTCTCAGAAAAAAAGGATAGGGTATCAAGTTATACGTTGCAGCACACCACTGAAAGAGTTCTCAAGGAAGGTTATTCATAATGGAAAATGCATTTTAAGACGAATAAAATGCAACATCATTGCCAAATGCTTCATCTACTTTTTCCAGGTGAAAGTGTATCTGTGCCTGAATGACTTGTTCCCAGAAGTTGACCTGCAACATGGAAACTACAAGGGCATCCTTGCCCAGCAAGTCTCAACACAGAATACCAGCCCTCTGGTCCTGCTTCAAAAAGGATAACCTTGAATTTGTCACAGCTAGTAGTTAGTGCTTATCAAAGGCTCAACTGAGGGAAGTGATATTTATGAAAGCCTATCTAAGAGACTTACTTTTAATCTCTACCTATACTAGAGTCTATCCTTAAATCAACTTCTGAGCACTGGAAGACTTGCCTCATTTTCTCAGTCTTCTCCTCCCCCAAGAATTATCTTTGCTAATTTACACATGAATCTATGAACTCAGCTTCTATCCAGGAAGGTATGTTGTAAACACCATAAAGAGCAGTTTGTAGGATCTCATTCTATGACCCTATACAAAGTTCTTCAGAAGAAAGTTTCTAAATTTTTCATTTAAGTCCCTCAATAATTACTATACTTCCCCTTTTCTGACAGTGAATATTACATGACCAGCTGTATTTCCCTTTTACCTGGAACTTAAACTCATACCACAGCAGTCCTGTCCTCCTCTACTCATTCTCAACAGGAGCGTATTTATTTTCTTTCTGCCATGGCCCAGAATGTCTATTTCTATTTATGATTTATTAATCTACTATTTATCCTCGGTTAATAGAATAATGTTATTTACTTTGTATCCACTAGTGTTTATGTCTACTAACATGCCATTTATCATCTAACTAGCTGTGTCAAACCTTTTTGGGAGGAAAAAAGGTAAAAGTAAAGTAAAATTAAAACATACTTGCAACATAAATCCTGTGCATGAGTTGACATGAACATAGCCCCAAATTAATCACATAAAACTCTAGATCATATCCCTTTGAAGTGGGATGGTATAATCATTCTCACTTGACATACTAAATAGACCAATATGTGATGTGGAGGGCTTGCCCAAAGGCAAAACAGAGAGGAAGCAGTGGAGATTAGGATGCATAATTCGGCACCATTTCCCACCCAGGCTCTGCCTGGGAATTCCAGCAGCCGCGCTAAATTCAGGTTACCAACCTCTTCGCCACTGGCTATTCGGTGAGCCAGATCTTTTAAGTTTCTCATCATTCTTTCATCCCGAAAATCATAGGGAAATGTTTCCGTCCATTCCGTGAGGAGTTGAAGGATTTTGGGTGCAATTTTTCTCATCTGGTTCTAGGGAGAAATAGCAAATCTAATTCAGTGATATTTATCACTATGGACTACATCAAATCAATAGTTACAAAGAGCGTCACTGAGAAACTTCTAGTGCAAAGTCTTTAGGGATGAAGAAGAAGCTCCAGCCCCCCTCCCTCCATGTCAATGCCAAGTGCCACCAACTTAAGGCAGGACCTAGGGATTCTCCATTGCATTTAATTAATTTATTTTTTAAAATTTTTAAATTTTTAATGTCTTTTATTTTTGAGACAGAGTCTCACTCTGTCTCCCAGGCTGGAGTGCAGTGGTGCAATCTCAGCTCACTGCAACCTGCCTCCCAGGTTCAAGCGATTCTCCTGCCTCAGCCTCCTGGGTAGCTGGGATTACAGGCATGCGCCACCAGGGCCAGCTAATTTTTGTATTTTCAGTAGAGGTGGGGTTTCACACGTTGGCCAGGCTGGTCTCAAAACTCCTGACCTCAGGTGATCCACCCACCCTGGCCTCCCAAAGTGCTGGGATTACAGGCGTGAGCCAGTGCACCCGAACTGCATTTGATTTATCCTGTGTTCTTTATTCTTTATACCATTCACAATTCCCCTTGTATAGCCATGATGCCATTTATGCACTTCAGCCTGGGGATAAGCCAGGGTTACTTAAGGAACCAACTTCACAAAATCTAAGCCATAAAGTAAGCATTCCTAATAAAACAAATTGTAATGTACCATTACCTTATCACTATCAGGATCACTTAGTCTCTGGTGCTCAACACATAAGTGGCAAACTTTGGCCATTAGCTCATACGGATGCATAAATAACCGAGAACTGAGTAGGAAGGTAAATATGTATGTTCTCTGCAGCAACAGAAAAAAGTCATCATCGTTACATTCTCTCTGAAATTAATATCTTGCCTTTATACTATGTCTTATTTCATTAAGTTCTCCTGATCAAGTTCATATGCTGCAGTTTCAAAAGTAATGCCTACTAGTAGTAAAACAGTGTAAGGTTAATTTCTCCTTTACCTTCTGATGTATGTTTTCCCTGAAACCATACTAAAAATAACAGAAGTACAGGATAAGTTTGGCTCCTGGAATTATTCAGAGCACATTTTCACATCCTTCCTCAGGGAGCCAGGATACCAAGACACATAACTCACTTTAGTAAAGAAGAATGAAATTCAGCCCAGAGAGATAAATCTTACTTGAATATACTACCCATACAAAACATGGTTGTGTGTCCAAATATTTTGTAACTCAGTGGAAACCAAATAAAAAATAACAACAAAAAAACCTACCTACCCAATGCACATAACACTCAACAATTCTCCACTGTGTCTAGCACATCACAGTAAAGTGTTTGTGTCAGAACATTCAAAGGCAGGCTTTCAAGTAACCTATTTATTTGTTTAAAGGCAAAGCAATTTAATAAAGCACAATATAACACTATATACTTTTCTTTAACCACATTGTCTCCTAAGAAGCCAATAATGAAGTAGTGCTTATTTGTTATAATAATTTCAGACTCCCAATGAAAAGAGAAATTCCATGGGATTTTTCTTTTTTCCTTAGGCGCCTTTACTAGCTCATAAACACAGGGCTGAACAAGGGATTCCTTTTACTTTTGACTACAAGTTTTCCCTGTGTGGCAACATATCTGAAAATGCCATGTAACAATACACAGAGAGATAACTCAGTAAGAAACACTATGGTGAATTACTGCGGCAAGCACCAACTATCCTTTGCACACCAAGGTTATCATTAAATTTATAAAGACAAATGAATGTAGTCTCTAGATATTTTCATGAGATCTTTATCAATAACCAGCTGCTCGGCAAATCTCCTACTACTAAGCTCAATTCCATAGAGGTAGCTGCAGCACAGGGAAGGGGGAAAAAGTCACTTGTCCCAGAAAGAAAACCTGTGTTTGACTGCTGATGCTGGGAGTGGGACCATCAGCAAATACTCAACACTCTGAATCGTTTTCTCCTCTCTTCCCTCTTGGAATTACTGTAAAGACTGAGAAAATATACAACAAATTCCCTAGATTAGAAAGTGCTAGCTATATAAATGTAGGTTACCAAGGTAAAACAAAGCAACCATGTCATCTGATGTCAAATCTATAAAGAATTACATCTTGAGCATAAATCTTGTTTTCTCTTCCATATACTTTCCTTGGTTACATTCACTTTTCTTAGCATAGTGATGGTCTTGGAAACAAAAAAGGCATTACATATTCTGGGAGCATCCAATGTTCTCTGACATTTCTATTTAAGGACTAAGCTATATGCATGAATCAACTCTACAGATACTTCATTTAGATGGTATCAGACCATCTACAATGTTGTAACTAACCTGAAAAGAAATTGATACACATAGTATACCAAAATCTGATCCTTATCCAGGCTCGATTTGATTTCAATGCACTTGATAATCAATATGCAATTTCTTGTTAGAAAAATTCTTAGCAACCTAGATATAATTCTGTATTATCTATGGTCCCTGCCTACTGTACTGCAATTTCTACTCATTGCCAAGGATGTGTTTCAGAGAAACATGAATACCTACATCTGGATAGTAATCCACATTAGGTACTAAGTGCTGGATGAGTGCTTCCAGGGATCCAGAGAGGAGGTTGTTGTCATGGTAATACAACCCTCCACAGCTGTCCTCTGCAGACTGATAGAGGTTTCGATTGTAACCACTGCTGTCAAACATTGCTGAAAAGGGAGGAGTCTGAGGCATACTTTCCTAAAAGGAATAAAAAAGAAGAAAAAATAATGTCAGCAATATGCAGTATGAAAATAAAGGTAAGCTTTAATAGGCACTAAGATTTAATAGTAACGAGAGAATAGGCAATTAAAATAGTAGTTCAGGTTCTGACACAGAATCAGAGCCCATCAGGAACCAAATTGCTCTCTGAGTACGACACGTATGCATGCTTTTGAGTACCACTCTCATTCAATCAAATATCATACAATGCTTAGACTGAGGGGCCCAACCTGGACTTAAACTCAAGTCTCTGGCTGTCATATTTAGATGTCACTCCTTCACATCAGATTGTGAAAGGGGCAAGGGAACTGAACTTCTATTGCTTTATCGCATGGAGTCAACAATTTTCCTAAGGTGGAAATGTGTACACCTTAAAATTTGGTTGGGAAAAGTTACCTAACACTGAAGAGCTATCTGAAGTACTGGAAGACAACCAAAATTGAAGCTGAAAACACTAAATTGCAAAGTAGGCCTAGAGTTGAAGTATACTCTGTGCATGTTTATATATGTATATGTGTACACACAAGATTTCATGTAGACTCTTCAGTTTTCACTGAAAGATCAGATGCTGTTGATTTTCTCCCCTTTGTGTTAAATTCTCCTGGGGCTGTGGGGTGGTATCTGTAAAGCCTCAGTTCTCAATAAACATGCAGGCTGAGAAGACACCTGATTTGGGAGCAAGGAGCACTGTGACAGTCCTGAGATAAGTTGCTCCTCTCCATCTGTGTACTTTGCAGTTCACAAAGGCCTTGTCAGAGGGTGCTCTGCAGAGGCCAGAGGCTATTAAGTTATTACTTGAATTCCTAGGGACGGCACCCGGCCCTGAGAACAGACTCCCAGTCTCTGGCACCACGTCTGCACAATGGAGGCATTGAAGAGCTGCAGAGACTGGGGGCTTCAGAAGGCAAACAATGAAGGGGAGCCATACTCCAAGCTACGGACTGACAGGGACAGGGTGTGTGGAGGCAGCAGAAGGACATAACCTGGACTAATCTTTCTTTTTAAGATGCCAAAAGATATTTGCATCTCAATGTGGGAGGGGTGTGGAGCCCTGTCTAAGTCACATCCATCACTCCTTGAGCATCTGTTCCAGCTACAGCTGATGGGTACACAGAGCATCACATCCTGTGCATGTGCCTCAGCAGGGGGCGGCCAGGGGTGGGGCATTAAGAGAAAACATCCATCATAAAAGCCAACCTGGCAGGTGAAAACAGAATTAGATAAAAGAAGCATCAAGAAAAATAAATGGGAGATAAAAACCAACTTCATTTCTGAGTACTTTGTCCCCTCCACAAACCAGTGTTGAGGGACAATTTAACGGGATCCATGAAAAAGCCACAAATGGGAAGAAGGTGATGACTGAGAACCACTCTATTCACAGAGATTTGTCACTACTAGGGTCACTGGCCCCATGTCTCTCCTTTAGGTAGCACATAGTCATAGCAGCCAAAGGGTCAGGCACTATGGGATATAACATTAACACAGATGGTCTGCACACACCCTTAGTTGGCAAGACCTCACATGTAGGAACTGCAGTTAAATAAATAAATTATTCAATGTTAACATTTTATAAGGCAATAGACAAGGTATGTTTCTTTCCTCCTCAAATTGCCAGGTTTCTATGAGTACTACTCCTGTGCAATATAATCGTTGCAAACTGGCCATCCTTGGCGGCAAGAATAAGAGCCAGTCTGTCCTTGCCCTGAGAAACTCATAGTGCCCTCAAACGAGGAGGCAGGGACGTGAGATGAGAGGCACCTAAAAGTTCCTTCAGATAACTGAGAGAGAACCCTTTGTCTGGATTTGGTTGCCTCTGGCTTTAAAAAGTTTTAGATGTTTATAACCACAGTGTCCTTCACATGCAGCATGAGGAGTGTCATGCCCTTGGAATTGGGATTTTTTTCTTTCAGGAACCACACATTTTCCTTCATTGGAGCACTTACTCATTGCTAGCGCAACCATTCTAACAAAGTGCTTTTGGGAGATGGTTGGCCAGGATTTGGGAATTCCAAAAAATCAGAAAATGATAAATATTCAAAGGAACCACAGAAATCACCTGGCCCAGTATCTGGAAAACATTTCATTTCACTTTCCTTTCACTTTCCAACTGCAATCAATTAAAGTGGTGGTCTAAAGGCCTGAGGATGAGCAAGGAAAATATGGAAGCTGTAGCTCAGTGGGAGAATGTAGGTTGTAAGTGATTAGCAATGACTGTCAGACAGTCATGGAAGGAGCCACAGCCCATGTGCCATCACAATCTAGTCCAATCTCCTCTTCTGAGACCCAAGGGGGTAAGGTGACCAGGCTAAGATGACCCAGCAATGAGGCACATCGCTGCACTCTTGCTGGATGGAACTCCCCTGCACCAAGTACTCTCCGGCCAGAGGCTAATTAGCAGTAAGCACCAACCCACAAAACGGTCATGGGTCACTCAGATTTTGTTTTCAAGGAATCAGCACCAAAAGCTACCAAGTATTTGCACTTCTTAATTATTTATTCCTGCAGAGTAGACAAGAGCTCAGATCTGGACAAAGATTCAGATTTAATGAAGTCCTAATTCTGGCACTTAATGGCTGTGAAATCTTCAAACCCTCAGCACCACCAGATATGTTTTCCATCTGTTATTTCCAATTTTGCTTATCCCTTCCAAAATAGTAACAAAACTACTTATCTTCTTTAGTGCAAGGTTCTTCTTAGAGCATTATGATTAGAGCAATGGCAAAAGGCTTGTGTATTGTTTTTTGGAACTATACCACTTGCAGTATTTCTCTGAAGAGGTGCAAAATATCAATACTTAGAAAACTCCCTCCAACAAGGCACTAAAAGAATATAATGCAAATAGTGACAGAAACCAAATTGAGGTAAATGAATAAGGTTTATGGCTTATTGTACTTAAAAATCAACTGTAAGAACAGAGTTATGTCACAGGCTATTTTCTGCCTTCTAACAAGCCCAAAGTTATGCTGCTAATTAGCTGATTTCATTTTCCCATGAAACCACCTTGATTGTTGAACTTGCACATAGCAATAACCAACTACTGAGATTCAAGTCACTTCAGCCCATTATTTATTATGCACAATAGTCTTATTTTTCTACCTCCCCATATACTCCAGACAGAATCTTTTCAATTCCTTAATCCCTTCTCCCTTCATTAGTCATAATTCTTCTCACTATGGGATATTGTGTGCTGGAAAATGTCTTCACATTTCACAGACCTTTACCTCTCTGAATCCCCATTCCAGGTCTCTCTTATGACATCCGTGATGCAGAGGGCTCTGAGAATTTCATTGGCTCCATTTGTGTAATTGTTTACTGACTACAAATGCCTTCCTGGATTCTACAACCACCTCATCTGGCAGGCATCCCCATCTTTTTTTTGACTATATAAGAAGCTGAGGTTCAGAAAAACTGTAATAACTCGCTTGGGGTTAGACATGGAGTAAGGGACAGGTGGGGTAGGGTTTCAGAGTTAGGTCTTCAGACTCCAGGTTCAAAATTTATTACACTACATTATGATATGCTGCAAATGGTCTTCTTTGAACTTCTAAAGTTTAAGCATTAAACAAAAATCCTGTCAGTCTGTCTCAAATTGTAGGCTATTAGAATAATTCATACATTTTACATGTTCTACATAAATCCTTGCTCCAAAGAAGTATTAGTACCATTAATTACTCTTATTAAAAAGTTCAACTGTCAACAGCAGTATTTAAGCTACTGACCTTTGCCATCAAAGCATGGTCTCATCAAGACATAGAGATTCCAGAGATTCCAATATGGACTTTAAAAAAAATTATAATATCCTCAAAACTGGGATGCATGTAAACAGTTGAATGGTAAGAAAACATGTTTACTTAACAGTCTTTTAAAGTGATATATGCAATGACAGAGCATCTAACGAGGGATAGCCTCTTAGACTCAATGAAATATAGTAATATTTGCTTGTGTGTACTTTATAGATTTCCGGCAAAAAAAATTTAATGAAAGAAATGACCAAGAGAAAAATCATGGCTCACAGTATTCATCACTCATTGCTGGACAATGTCTAACCAGTGGCCAGTCTAGCTGTTTTCGGAAGGATCAACTGCCTGTGTAATAGAAGCGTTTTATAATCACAAGGAAAAATCAGCAGAATGGTACAGAAAGTACAGTTTATGGAACAGAATTGTAATACCTAAGAAGACAAACATAGTAGTCTGTTTTCTCTAAAGTATCTTCCCTCTTGTTAACCACACCAAGAGCTACTGTTTGTTCGGTATTACTCAGACTTGATGTCTGGGTCTTTTATTCTAACTGCTTCAGTTCTGGAATTGAAAAGTGAGGCCCAAAAGATTAAATATTGGTTTAGTTCTTGTTAAGAAAATAAATCCAATATTCAAAGTGCTGGGCATGAGAATCCAGGCAAGTATTTATCCCTGGGCACTATTAACTCCAGGAATCACTTCCTAACAATTTCTCCAGGGGAAGAAAGGCTCAGGGTAAGGTTGCTCGTAACCCATAACTTCCATTTATTTCATTCAGTCAGGCAGTTCTCATGCCTTCCTTATTGGCAGCAAATCTTCTCCTTTCATCTTCCACAACTAATATTTTCTGTCTCTGAGATCCTATAAACTCTCAACTTACTCCTCTTTACACTTTGCAACACAGCCTCAGAACCAGCCTCTCCACTGCCTGCCATCTGTCGTTAGTAAAAATTTTGCCTAACTCAATATACCTATCAATGGGGACCAGCTAACAAAAAATTTTGTTTAGGAAAAACTGACTCTTCTCCAAAATTAGAATATATGGATGGAACAGCAAGTTAAATACTGGCATTAATTTACCATAAAGTCCAACTTCAAAGTAGCTAATTCCTTCAGAAAAAAAGAGATTTGTATGAGACACAAGAAAAAGCTGCTGACTTTATTCAAATCCTACCAATAATACATAAAGCAGAGAGCAGGTTAATCTCAAAAGCTATTCTCACCTTACGAAGTTGCATTTGTAAGCCAGTTCTTTACAACTCAGAGTATATTCAATTCAGTCAGTGGCTCTTAACTCTTTAGGGAGATCACAAACCTCTCCCCATCACCACCCCCAGAGAAATTTACACACCAGTTTTCATATACTTTCAGGGAGTTTACAGACCCCAGATTAAGAAGTCCATGTGCTGACCTGCACAGAACCTAGATATTATTTCTCTACGCCAAGGAAGAAGAACATGGTGGCTCTGACAGTAACCTTGGTCTAACACTTTCAAGACTGGCTCCTTAGACATCAAGAAACTCTTAGGCCAGGAGCGGTGGCTCACACCTGTAATCCCAGCACTTCGGGAGGCTGAGGCGGGCGGATTACTTGAGGTCAGGAGTTTGAGACCAGCCTGACCAACATGAAGAAACCCTGTCTCTACTAAAAATACAAAATTAGCCGGGCATGGTGGCACATGGCTGTAATCCCAGCTACTTGGGAGGCTGAGGCGGGAGAATCGCTTGACCCTGGGAAGCGGAGGTTGTTGTGAGCTAAGATCGTGCCATTGCATTCCAGCCTGGGCAAAAAAGGCAAAACTCCATCTCAAAAAAAAAAAAAAAGAAAGAAAGAAATCAAGGAATTCTTGTATTTTCAGGTAGTACCTATCAAACTGAGTTAAGAGAATAAAATAATCATAATTATTTTGGTTTGGGTACAGCTATTGAAATGGGCTTTCTCTTTTCTTTTCTGCAAAAATTGAGGCAGCACTTTAGGATATTAGAAGATGCAGGGAGATAATGGAAAACAGACTCTGGTTTTAAAACAATGAAACAGGCGAAAAGAAAGTGTAGAGCCACCATAATTAGCATATAGATTACAGGTTATGCTGGAAAATCTTCCAACAGGAAGTTAAGATATACCCAACCCAGGTACACAAGATGAATGTTCTTTCTTAAAATTAATTTGGGAAGTTGAAAAGTTAGTTGACAGACAAGACATCTTACAGAGGCAGCTAATTTGGTCACAAAGATAGATCACGTTCTTCCAAGGACCCTGAAAAAGTTCAGCCTGACATTGATCCAGCAGCAAGGAAGCAAGCTCTGGGTGATTTACGATATGAATGGATTTGAAAGGCATGCCTAATGGTTTCAAATCCACTAAAGTGCCAGATGAAAAGCTGCCTTTTTCTAAACAGCAGACTGTGTTTGAATTAGCGACTGCTTTTGCACAATGTTATTTATGATGAAGCAGGTGCACCAGGATAAGGTGGTTTCAGGTGACAATTCAAATTGGAAAAGAGGTTGAGGAAAAGATGGGTATGGGAACTGAATCAAAAGCTATCCCTCAATGTCTGCAATAGGTGCTTTGTAAATCTCTACTAGAATGTCAAGTCAGCATTTCCTCTACACTTGGAAAGAGACAGAAAATGTAAGAGTCAGAGAAAAAAAAGGTTTATTTTTTTCAATCCCTATTTCATCATACATACAGTGCTTTGGTGAAATATTTAATAAATCCAATGCCTTGATGTTGACCATAATATTTTAGCTTCTGTTCAAATGTTGGGCATGTGTCCCAATTAAAGAAAAGAAAAACACTTAAGTAGATGAAGGCCTCCGTATCACAGCTGAACTTTGAAAGCATATTTGTTTAGTGGGGAGAGGTTTAATTTAATATCCCGGAATTACTGGTTCCCGAATTCCCATCTAGATGCCAGAGAAACTTTGCCCTTTGGTGAGATTCATCTTCAACAACTTGTTTCTTCCTTTTCTCCCTTGAAGCTGCATAGATCTGAATTAAGAGTTCACGTATTTCAGCTTTACTCCAGCTGTTATCTCAAGTACTTGCAGCCTGTCTCCTTTCGCCCTGCTAGAATACAAAGATTGACTGCACCTTCATAGGGTGTATCTAACTATGGATTTGAGCCAGGGTGAAAGGCAAAAGTCAAGTTTCTGACACTATTTAAAACATGACTTATTTTAAATTTGAAAACGTCAAGATTGCCAGGCGCGGTGGCTCACGCCTGTAATCCCAGCTCTTTGGGAGGCTGAGGTGGGCAGATCACAAAGTCAGCAGATCGAGACCATCCTGGCTAACACGGTAAAACCCTGTCTCTACTAAAAACACAAAAAATTAGCTGGGCGTGGTGGCGGGTGCCTGTAGTCCCAGCTACTGGGGAGGCTGAGGCAGGAGAATTGTTTGAACCTGGAAGACAGAGGTTGCAGTGAGCTGAGAACGCGCCACTGCACTCCAGCCTGGGCGACAGAGCAAGCCTCCATGTCAAAAAAAAAAAAAAAGAAAGAAAGAAAGAAAGAAAGAAAGAAAGAAAGAAAGAAAGAAAGAAAGAAAATTTCCAGATTATCTTCCCATTTCTGTCCTCAGTCAGAAGACGTCCTAAATCAGAGATTTCTAACAGCATCTCTGGAAACTGCAGAAATGCTACACCTCTGCTTACCTCCTTAAAAAAAAAAAAAAAAAAGAAAAAAAAGGTATTGTATTGAGAGGGCAAACAACACAGAGAAGACAACTCAGAGTCAACTCACTTCTTTGGTATGTGAACAGACAGAAACTCCAAGACTCCAAGATAAGTACCTTCTTTGAAAGTGAGTCCCACATGCTTAGTAGATTTCACAGTTAAGGGAGGAAAAAAAAATCAGTATTTTTGAGGAAGGAAGATCCTATTTCTCTCGCAATGAAACAGTGATATTATTTCCTGATTTATCAGCATCCATACAAAAAGTTAATTTCCATTCTGCTTGATTTGTCTTAGATGCTGCTTAAATATTTCATACTAATTCCTAATTGTTGGAGGAAGGGGATTCTGACTCAAATAGTTTACTATCTTTGGTTTCCTTGGAAGAAAAACAAAGCTAAGATTTGTCATCTTTTGTCTTGGGGATGTGTTGTTAGCAGTTTATTAAACCACAAATGACATTTCGGCACATAACCTGGAGAGTCAATTAAAACTCTTCTATGAAATAAATCTTTACTGTGTGGGAACTGAACCCAGGACATATTGAATGTAAAGAATGTAATGCATACATTCTTTATGCATTAACTTTTTAGCTACATCTTCCATGCAGTTCCTAAACCGGACAGTAGATGGCTCCTCGTTCCTTGTCTTTCAAAGAGTTGGCACTTTGTAGCAGTAACAGTGCTGGTTTAGAAAAGCAAAAGGATAACTAGAGTTATGGGGAAAATATATTGAGAAACTGGTATTTGTGATCTTGGCATATTATTGAACTATACAGCTCATACTGTACAGGTGAAGACGTACTGGCTAATAATGCCATTTGGTCATAATGCCTTACATTGTAGGTGCTCATCTATAATGAGAATTAAATATTTCATTTTCCTGGAAGAATAAAAATGATCTTCTGGATAATCAAAATCATCATTACCTAATTGAGTGCTGTCAAAAAGAACTTTCTGGGATACTGAAAATGTTTTTCTTTTGCACAATCCAATACAGCAGCCACTAGCCACAAGTGACTTACTTAGCACTTAAAATGTGGCTTATTGCAACTGAAAAACTAAATTTTAAATTTTGTTTAATTTAAATAAACTTAAGTTTAAATATTCCCATATGACTAGTGGCTACCATACTGAACAGCACAGATATGAGTAGCTGAATCATCATTTATACAAGGTAGATCTCAACCCAAATTAGATAATAGCATGTGGAGAACATTCTTTAATGAAAGGTTTTATTTTTCTACACCTAATTCATCTCAGGAAAATGATCTGATACCTAATGAGGATGTTTATTAAAAAGTAGAGTTTTCTATTTATATTTTAGTATATAACATGGTTACTGGGATAATTTTCCAGCTGTGAGTTTTTGAAAAACTATATTCATCCCTTCCCATTTTTCTCTTTTAGATCAATAGAAAGATATTGGTAGTCCAGGCTAATTTGTACTTTCTCTGGGTTAAACTAATTTTCTAAGCAGGGTTTCCTAATAAAGTTTGAATCAACTGAATGATTTCCAGACATAGGCATATCCTGAAATGAAATAATAAATATAAACCTAAGAAAAAATGATTGTTGAAGACAAATTTAAAAATTTAGTGGATAGTAATATTGATTTAATAGGCCAAAAAATAATCTGACACCAATCTTTTTGATAATCATTTTTAATATTCATACCTAAAGAAAAACAAAGCAAAAAGCAGTTTAATATTAAATTTCTACATGAATTCATAAATAAAAAAGAAATTTCACTCTCCTCTCTTCATTTCCATGTACCCAGAAAGTAGGTGAACACCTAACTGCAAATCACTTGTCCCTTCATTAGTCCACCTCTAAGACAGGGTGTAAATGCATGAAGCGATAGTACAACAAAATAAAGCAGTTATGACAGACCTAAAGAAACTCATAAATCATTCTGTTCAACTCCCCACAGTCGTTTTATAGACACTGCAGGCATAGAGAAAAAATAAATCACTGATTAGGGCTCCAGATCAACCAGAACCCAAGTCTCCTTATTTCCAAGGCAGAAATATGCCACAGCACTAGGCTATAACATCTGTCACTTTAGGATAAGCAAAGGTTGCATGGATCTTTTTTGTAGTTTTAACTGGAGAATCAAAAAGGACAACTATAGGTCTGAAAAAGTGAGGGGGGTGGGCTGGCAATACCTGAATTCAACTACTACTAATAAAAATCCCATAAATCTTAAACAGCATTTTTAACAGTGCAATTGGCCTCTTTAAGAAGTCACAAAATGTTTTCACAGCTTTTTCATTTATTATGTGTGGCATCAGAATCAAGTTTCCCAATCCCTGCTTCAAGGATTCTAGATTCTTCTCCCAAGCAAAGAAAAAGACATTCCATTCACCCATCTCCTTTCCAAGGAGGTGCTCTCCTGGGGCTATCCCAATGTTCCTCCCAAGTCCAATTCTTCCAGGTACTCTGCGGATATTGACAAAGCTGATCCCAACACTCCTGAGTCATACTAGGGATCCCAGCTCCTCCCCTTCAATTTTCTTACCATGTCTTTTTCCTTAGAAAGGTGTATTGAATTGTTTTTATATAGTCTATTGTACTCTATTAACTAGTAGTTAATTTTAGGTTCTAAGAATAAAATGTTATATAAGAACTATGTGTTATTATAATACTTTGATTTAGTTATACATATAAATACATATGTATATATGTACATATATGTGTATATATACACACACACACACACACATATAAATAATCTATTAGATGCTAAGCTGTAGGGGGTTAGCGGGAGACAATACATGGGAATGCTTTCTGGTGATTCTCTTCTCCAAAAGACAGTATGATTCCCAGGTATTAGATGTGTTAGTATCAGATAAAATATCCAGTGGAGCACATAAAATGAAGCAAGACTGAAAATGCACCATAGGAGAAATAAATTCTAAGAATGTAACACTTCGTTAGACAACTGGAAAGTACAAGGCCAATATGCTTAGTAGTTAGAAATGTTGCCCACCTCCAAGAAAACAAAGGATTGACCCGACATGCAGTGGAAGAATGCCAACAAGAAACTTGTTAATCAGTGGCTGATCTCATCTTCACCAGAAAATCTGCTTGAGAGGCATAATATAACGCTGTTTGTAAACCCTGATATCTGTCAAAAGTGCCCTAAGGTCCTCCTCTCTAGCTCCACCACTGCCCCTCACTTAAAAAAATAAAATTACCTTTAATGATAGGGTTTAACAAGCTGCCTTCTTTTTTTCTGTTATGAAAACCTCAACAGCAAATAATTTTTATTTCTTTTTATTAAAGAAAGCAACTCTATATTTGTTCTAAATCTCATGGGACCAGTTATTTTCACCCAAACGGCCAACCAGGTATATACGCTGCTTAACTGTAAACCTCCTTGTTTCTTAGCAGAGGCTTATCGCCATGGTCCAACTATGTTTTAAATTAAGGCATAGCCATCACATGCCAAGCTCTAGCTACTGTTTTCACGAGGAAAGGGCAATTATTCACCCCATCTGAGTGTGACTGTGCCAGACATCATTCAAGAGTGCACCACCCTGATCCCTAGACTCTTCCCCTTTATGCACCCAGTTCAGAGACCCTCCCTTCGGCCATTAGACCATCTGAGCTAAATATAGATCTACACACACCAGCAGTTCCTGACCGTCGTCACATGGTGCTGACGAAGGACTCCTTGGAGACGCGTTCGGCCCAAACACATACACAAATTTGTGTGCATATTCATCTATATACACCATATCCACCGAATTCATCAGGGAGGATGGACACATCTACATTCCGAAGAGAAAATCGCCGTCTAGACAATCTCCTTGTGTTATCTGCCACACTTGTGCCACCCTCGGCAGTGTCAGAGGATTAAGCTACGTTGCTTTTGCCTGAACTGCGCCGATTTGGTTGGGGCAAGACAGCAAGCAGTATTGAAATGGTACGTCCATACACACACACAAAGGCGCGCGCACCCCAGCCCCCGTCTCGCCCTTTTCCCTGGTGCAGCACTTAAGTTGTTTTCACAGCTCCCTTAGAAAGAACCTCCCTTAAGCTGACTGCCCGCGAGGCTCCTAGATACCTCTAGCTCATCTGAGATTCCCCAGGCAGGTGACCCGAGGCGACTCAACTGAGCTCTGGCAAAAGCAAGGCGACTCAGTGTCTCCCAAGTTTGCCAGGTGAACACCGAAGGATGACAGCACATCACCTTGTCGGTGGCGAGTATGTGACTTCTGTTCCCTTGTCCCTTCCTACGAGTCAGACTTTAGATTACATGGCACTGACAACAAAAATAAACAGCTCCCCCTACACACACACGCACACAAAACTGGTCAAGAAGTGGAAGAATCAACCTAGGTATGCACACGAAGGAAAGAAGGGATGAAAAAAATGATGGACGCGATTACAACTCAAGACAAATCCTCAAAAACCACCTATCTCGAGACAGAAGGCCTGGCTGCAGGATCAGGGAGAAAGAGGGAAGGCACAACCCAACCCAACCCAAGCCTGGCCCTGCCCGGGTCCCAGCGGCTCGGCCTCGCACCTGTTGGGGCCGCGGCAGTCCCAGGTACCCGCAGCGGCCGGGCAGGGGCCCTCCCCCGGTCCCGGGCTGTAACTCGGCTCTTGGCGCCCGCGTTCGCGCTCACTCGCCTCGGGATCTCCCGCCGCCTCGGAGCGCACCCGGCAGCCGGTGAAGTCTCTGAGCCCCGCTCGCTCCCCGCGCGGCCCAGGGATCTCCAGGGAGAGCGCAGCGCGCAGTAGGGTCCGGAGTTCCCGCTCCGGGCTGTGGTCCCCCAGCCGGGAGAACAACCCAGCCAGGGAACAACCTACCTGCAGGTGAACTCCGAGTCCTCGGCCTCCCGGCTGCGTGCCGCGCGCCCACAAATGCGACCAAAGGACAGGGAGCTAAAGCGCGCGGGAAGAAGAAAAACAAAATCTGTCTAACCAGTCGGGTTCCTTGTTTATACTGAAACTACGGCAGCCGCCGCCGCGCACGCCCCCCTTGGCTCAGGCGCCTGCCTCCCGCTGCCAGCCCCGCCCCGCCCCGGCAGGCGCGGGCCAATCACCGCGCAGCTCACCGCCCACGCCGCCGCCACCCGGCCCGGCAGGCAAGTCCCAGTGGGCCCCAGACTCCCGCAGCGCGTCAGCCTGGGTGCCCTCCCACGCGGCAGAGGCCCGCGGAGCCCAGCGCAGCGGTGTTTAACAGCGTTGGTCAGGCTGGCTCCGACTGTGCGCGTTTCCTCTTGAGTGCACCTGCCCCGGGCTGTTGTGCAGTCGTGAGTGTGTGTGTGTTCATTCACGTGTATACTATCTGTAAATACCGGCCCGACTCGTTACACAGTATTTATTAACATAATTGTGAGCTAAAGGTTACTGTCCATGTAACTTTCAGAAGAGAGCGGAGAGGAACCACAGAACATTTGCTTAGCAAATAACACATAGATCCTGGTGCTAAGCACTGTGCAAAACGCTGGGGGCACACTTGGCAAAGTAGGCTGGTCTCTGCCATTGTGAAACTTACATAGTCTAGTGGAGGACAGACATTCAGCAAATAATCACCCAAACAAAATGTAGAATTACAGCTGCTAGAAGTTGCACGGAGAGGAACCTGTTCCGTGAAACATGATTCCGGAGGCAAAGCAGGGAGGCTAGTCCTCAGTGAGGGCTGTGTTGTCATGGTAACCACGTACTCACTCCATCATGGGATATTTGATAACTATTTCAGAAAAAAGGTAAAAACCTCCGTACTTCACTTTGTACACATAAAAGGAGGCCAGAGGGAAATAATGATGGAAACAAGGGAAGAAAGAGACCTATGAAAAGAAAAAATTTACAGAATTAGGAGACTCTTACCAACTGTATTTCCTTGAGTAAGTGATACAGCTTTTCTGAGCTTCAGTTTTCTCATATATAAAACAACACTATTCATACCTGTCCTATACTGTTATAATTAAGATTACTGAGGGGGAGGAATCCTTTTCCCTCCTGCTCCATGGGTCCCTCCCCCTCTCCTTCCTGGGGTGGAGTCATTTTGACGCTCACTTTGTCTATTCTTAGCGGATTCCTCTTTCATTTTCTTCATTTATGCCTCCTTTTACTTTTCTTCCTCTTTATGATACTCCTTCCCTCCTTTGTGTAAATAGGACTCCTCTGATTCAGTAATTCACTCTAACCTACTTGAGCCTTTGACTTAACCATAGCTTCTCTGCAGTTTAAATGAGAAGCCATAAGGCCAAGGGAACTTGGTGGGCCAGCCATGCAGAGTGAAACACAGAGGCTGGGTGGCCCTGCCCTGCTGTTGTGGTTGTACTGGTTGGTTGATTTTTCAAGCTCAGTTTTTGCATCCCGATTCTGTAACAAACGAGCCATATGACATTGGGCCAGTCACTTACACCCTTGACATTACTGATCCTGTAGCCAGAAATTAAGAGTTGCAGGGGATTGCTGGCAAGATGGCTGAATAGGAACAGCTCCAGTCTGCAGCTCGTAGCGAGATTCACACAGAAAGCATGTGACTTCTGCATTTCCAACTGAGGTACCCAGTTCATCTCACTGGGACTGGTTGGACAGTGGGTGCAGCCCACGGGGAGTGAGCTGAAGCACGGTGGGGCATCGCCTCACCCGAGAAGTGCAAGGGGTTGGGGAATTTTCTCCTCTACCCAAGGGAAACCATGAGGGACTGAGCCTGAGGAACTCCAGCACAGATACTGTGCTTGTGCCAGTTTTCGCAACCCACAAACCAGGAGATTCCTTCCAGTGCCTACCCCACCAGGGCCCTGGGTTTCAAGCACAAAACTGGGTGGCCATTTGGGCAGACACCGAACTAGCTACAGGAGTTCTTTTTTTTTCCATACCCCAGTGGCGCCTGGAACACCAGCGAGACAGAACCGTTCACTCTCCTAGAAAGGGTTGCTGAAGCCAGGGAGCCAAGTGGTCTGGCTCAGCCGGTCCCACCCCAATGGAGCCCAGCAAACTAAGATCCACTGGCTTGAAATTCTCACTGCCAGCACAGCAGCAGTCTGAGATCAACCCAGGACACTCGAGCTTGGTGGGAGGAGGGGCATCCACCATTGTTGAGGCTTGAGTAGGCAGTTTTACACTCACAGTGTAAACAAAGCCTCTGGGAAGTTGGAACCGGGCAGAGCCTACTGCAGCTCAGCAAGCCTGCTGTGGCCAGACTGCCAAATTTCCCTTCTCTGGGCAGGGCATCTCTGAAAAAAGGCAGCAGCCCCAGTCAGGGACTTATAGATAAAACGCCCGCCTCCCTGGAACAGAGCACCTGGGGAAAGGGGCGGTTGTGGGCGCAGCTTCAGTAGTCTTAAACGTCTGCCTGACAGCTCTGAAGAGAACAGCAGATCTCCCAGCACAGCGTTCAAGCTCTGCTAAGGGTCAGACTGCCTCCTCAAGAGGGTCCCTGACCCTCGTGTATCCTGACTGGGGGACACCTCCCAGTAGGGGCTGACAGACACCTCCTACAGGAGAGCTCTGGCTGGCATCTGGCAGGTGCCCCTCTGGGACAAAGCTTCCAGAGGAAAGATCAGTCTTTGCTGTTCTGCAGCCTCCACTGTGATATCCAGGTAAACAGGGTCGGGAGTGGACCTCCAGCAAACTCCAGCAAACCAGCAGCAGAGGGGCGTGTCAGAAGGAAAACTAAAAACCAGGAATAGCACGTCCACTGAAAAACCCCATCCGAACATCACCGACGTCAAGGACCAAAGGTAGATAAATCCACAAAGATGAGGAAAAACCAGTGCAAAAAAGGCTGAAAATTCCAAATCCAGAACACCTCTTCTCATCCAAAGGATCACAGCTCCTCACCAGCAAGGGAACAAAACTGAATGGAGAATGAATTTGACGAATTGACAGAAGTAGGCTTCAGAAAGTGGATAATAAACTCCTCTGTGCTAAAGGAGCATGGTCTGACCCAGTGCAAGAAAGCCAAGAACCTGGAGAAAAGGTTAGATGAATTGCTAACTAGAATAACCAGTGTAGAGAAAAACATAAATGATGTGACAGAGCTGAAAAACACAGGATGAGAACTTTGTGAAGCATACACAAGTATCAATAGCCAAATCCATCAAGTAGAAGAAAGGATATCAGAGACTGGAGATCAACTTAATGAAATAAAGAGAGAAGACAAGATTAGAGAAAAAAGAATAAAAAGAACACACAAAGCCTCCAAGAAATATGGGACTATGTGAAAAGACCAAATCTACGTTTGATTGGTGTACCTGAAAGTGACTAGGAGAATGGAATCAAGTTGGAAAACACTCTGCAGGATATTATCCAGGAGAACTTCCTCAACCTAGCAAGGCAGGCCAACATTCAAATTCAGGAAATACAGAGACACCACAAAGATACTCCTCGAGAAGAGCAACCCCAAGACACATACTTATCAGATTCACCAAGGTTGAAATAAAGGAAAAAATGTTAAGGGCAACCAGAGAGAAAGGTCGGGTTACCCACAAAGGGAAGCCCATCAGACTAACAGCAGATCTCTCTGCAGAAACCCTACAAGCCAGAAGAGAGTGGGGACCAATATTCAACATTTTTTTTTTTTAGATGGAGTCTCGCTTTGTCACCCAGGCTGGAGTGCAGTGGCATGATCTCAGCTCACTGCAGCCTCCACCTCCCAGGTTCAAGCAATTCTCCTGCCTCAGCCTCCCAGGTAGCTGGGATTATAGGCCTGTGCCACCACACCCAGCTAATTTTTTTTTGTATTTTTAGTAAAGATGGGGTTTCACTATGTTGGCCAGGCTGGTCTCGAACTCCTGACCTCCAGTGATCCACCCACCTCAGCCTCCCAGAGTGCTGGGATTACAGGCGTGAGCCACCGTGCCCAGCCTCAACATTCTTAAAGAAAATAATTTTCAACCCAGAATTTCACATCCAGCCAAACTAAGCTTCATAAGCGAAGGAGAAATAAAATCCTCTATAGACAAGCAAATGCTGAGAGATTTTGTCACTCCAGGCCTGCCTTACAAGAGCTCCTGAAGGAAGCACTAAACATGGAAAGGAACAACCAGTACCAGCCACTGCAAAAACATACCAAATTGTAAAGAACACCAATACTGTGAAGAAACTGCAACAACTAAAGGGCAAAACAACCAGCCAGCATCATAATGACAGGATCAAATTCACACATAACAATATTAACCTTAAATGTAAACAGGCTACATGCCCTGATTAAAAGACACAGACTGGCAAATTGGAAAAGGAGTCAAGACCCAACAGGGTACTGTATTCAGGAGACCCATCTCACGTGCAGAGACACACACAGGCTCAAAATAAAGGGATGGAGGAAGATCTATCAAGCAAATGGAAAACAAAAAGAAAAAGCAGGAGTTGCAATCCTAATCTCTGATAAAACAGACTTTATACCAACAAAGATCAAAAGAGACAAAGAAGGGCATAACGTATTGGTAAACGGATCAATGCAGGGAGAAGAACTGACTATTCTAAATATATATGCACCCAATACAGGAGCACCCAGATTCATAAAGCAAGTTCTTAGAGACCTACAAAGAGACTTAGACTCCCACACAATAATAGTGGGAGACTTTAACACCCCACTGTCAATATTAGAAAGATCAACCAGACAGAAAATTAACAAGGATATTCAGGACTTGAACTCAGCTTGGACCAAGTGGACCTAATAGAATTTATAGAACTCTCCACCCCGAATCAACAGAATATACATTCTTCTCAGCACCTCATCGCACTTATTCTAGTATTGACCACATGATTGGAAGTAAAACACTCCTCAGCAAATCCAAAAGAACGGAAATCATAACAGTCTCTCAGACCACAGTGCAATCAAATTAGAACTCAGGATTAAGAAACTCACTCAAAACTGCACAACTACATGGAAACTGAACAACCTGCTCCTGAATGACTACTGGGTAAATAATGAAATGAAGGCAGAAATAAATAAGTTATTAGAAAACCAATGAGAACGAAGACACAATGTACCGGAATCTCTGGGACCCACTTAAAGCAGTGTGTAGAGGGAAATTTATAGCAGTAAATGCCCACAAGAGAAAGCAGGAAAGATCTAAAATTGACACCTTAACATCAAAATTAAAAGAACTAGAGACGCAACAGCAAACAAATTCAAAAGCTAGCAGAAGACAAGGAATAATTAAGATCAGAACAAAACTGAAGGAGATAGAGACATAAAAAACCCTTCAAAAAATCAATGAATCAGGAGCTGGTTTTTTGAAAAGATCAACAAAATAGATAAACCGCTAGCCAGATTAATTAAGAAGAAAACAGAGAAGAATCAAATAGACACAATAAAAAATGATATAGGGGATATCACCACCAATCCCACAGAAATACAAACCACCATCAGAGAATAATATAAATACCTCTACGCAAATACACTAGAAAATCTAGAAGAAATGGGTAAATTCCTGGATACATACACCCTCCCAAGTCCAAACCAGGAAGAAGTCGAATCTCTGAATAGACCAATAACAAGTTCTGAAATTGAGGCAGTAATTAATAGCCTACCAACCAAAAAAAGTCCAGGACCAGATGGATTCACAGCCAAATTCTACCAGAGGTACAAAGATGAGCTGGTACCATTCCTTCTTAAGCTATTCCAAACAATAGAAAAAGAAGGAATACTCTCCAACTCATTTTATGAGGCCAGCATTATCCTGATACCAAAACCTGGGAGGACACAACAAAAAAGGAAAATTTTAGGCCAATATCCCTGATGAACATCGATGTGAAAATTCTCAGTAAAATACTGGCAAACCAAATCCAGCAGCACATCAAAAAGCTTATCCACCACGATCAAGTTGGCTTAATCCCTGGGATGCAAGGCTGGTTCAGCATACGCAAATTAATAAACATAATCCATCACATGAATAGAACCAATGACAAAAACCAAATGATTATCTCAATAGATGCAGAAAAGGCCTTCAACACCTTCAACACCCCTTCATGCTAAAAACTCTCAATAAACTAGGTGTTGATGGAACTTATCTCAAAATAATAAGAACTGTTTATGAAAAACCCACAGCCAGTATCATACTGAATGGGCAAAAGCTGGAAGCATTCCCTTGGAAAATCGGCACAAGACAAGGATGCCCTCTCTCACCACTCCTATTCAACATAGTATTGGAAGTTCTGGCCAGGGCAATCAGGCAAGAGGAATAAATAAAGGGTATTCAAATAGGAAGAGAGGAGTCAAATTGTCTCTGTTCACAGATGACATGATTGTATGATTGTATATTTAGAAAACCCCATCATCTCAGCCCAAAATCTCTGTAAGCTGATAAGCAACTTCAGCAAAGTCTCAGGATACAAAATCAATGTGCAAAAATCACAAGCATTCCTATACACTAATGACAGATAAACAAAGAGCCAAATCATGAGTGAATTCACATTCACAATTGCTACTAGGAGATTAAAATGCCTAGGAATACAGCTTACAAGGGATGTGAAGGACCTCTTCAAGGACAACTACAAATCACTGCTCAAGGAAATCAGAGAGGACACAAACAAATGGAAAAATATTCCGTGCTTATGGATAGGAAGAATCAATATTGTGAAAATGGCCATACTGCCCAAATCAATTTATAGATTCAATGCTATCCCCATCAAGCTACCATTGACTTTCTTCATAGAATTGGAAAAACCTACTTTAATCTTCATATGGAACCAAAAAAGAGCCCGCATAACCAAGACAATCCTGGGCAAGAAGAACAAAGCTGGAGGCATCATGCTACCTGACTTCAAACTATACTACAAGGCTACAGTAACCAAAACAGCATGATACTGGTACCAAAACAGATATATAGAGCAATGGAACAGAACAGAGACCTCAGAAATAACCCTACACATCTACAACCATCTGATCTTTGACAAATGTGACACAAACAAGCAATGGGGAAAAGATTTCCTATTTAATAAATGGTGTTGGGAAAACTGGCTAGTCATATGCAGAAAACTGAAACTGGACCCCTTCCTTACACCTTACACAAAAATCAACTGAAGATGGATCAAAGACTTAAACATAAGACCTAGGACCATAAAAATCCTAAAAGAAAACCTGGGCAATACTGTTCAGGACATAGGCATGGGCAAAGACTTCATGCCTACAACACCAAAAGGAATGGCAACAAAAGCCAAAATTGACAAATGGGATCTAATTAAACTAAAGAGCTTCTGCACAGCAAAAGAAACTATCATCAGAGTAAACAGGCAACATACAGAATGGGAGGAAATTTTTGCAATCTATCCATCTGACAAAGGGATAATATCCAGAATCTACAAAGAACTTAAACAAATTTACCAGAAAAAAAACAACCCCATCAAAAAGTGGGCAAAGAATATGAACAGACACGTCTCAAAAAAAGACATTTATGCAGCCAACAGACATATGAAACAATGCTCATCATCACTGGTCATTAGAGAAATGCAAATCAAAGCCACAATGAGATACCATCTCATGCCAGTTAGAATGGCAATTATTAAAAAGTTAGGAAACAACAGATGCTGGAGAGGATGTGGAGAAATAGGAATGCTTTTACACTGTTGGTGGGAGTGTAAATTAGTTCAACTATTGTTGAAGATAGTGTGGCAATTCCTCAGGGATCTAGAACTAGAAATACCATTTGACCCAGCAATCCCATTACTGGGTATATACCCAAAGGATTATAAATCATTCTACTATAAAGAAACATATATGTGTATGTGTACTGCGGCATCCTTCACAATAGCAAAGACTTGGAACCAACCCAAATGCCCATCAATGTTAGACTGGATAAAGAAAATGTGGCACATATACACCATGGAATACTATGCAGCCATAATAAAGGATGAATTCATGTCCTTTCAAGGACATGGATGAAGCTGGAAGCCATTGTTCTCAGCTAACTAACGCAAGAACAGAAAACCAAAACCACATTTTCTCACTCATAAGTGGGAGTTGAACAATGAGAACACATGGACATGAAGAGGGGAACATCACACACTGGGGCCTGTTGTGGGGTGGGTGGCTAGGGGAGGGATACCATTAGGAGAAATACCTAATTTAGATGACAAGTTAATGTGTGCAGCAAACCACCATGGCACGTTTATACCTATGTAAAAAACCTGCACGTTCTGCACATGTACCCCCGAACTTAAAGTATAATAATAAAAAAGACATTAGGAGTTGGAGAAAATCAGGATTTCTTAATGAGAATATCTGACATATCCTTTGTAACCTCTGGCTGTGGACATCAGACCAGAAGATTTTGCCCAGTTTTACTTTCTAAAGTATCCCGCAACAAAGAAGTTTATTTTAGATTCTTAAGATGTACAATGGATACCATGATAATATTAATGCAATGCTTTCCAAACAGCATTCCCACCCCCTATTTTGGCAGATCTCTCTGGGTTCCTTCTAGCTTTCTGTATGCCGAGTGTTAAATAAAGAGACAGATCTGGAGCTAGGCATCCTGACCCCTAATCCTATCTCTCTCACAGAGCCACCTATAAAGCCTTAGAAAAGGTACTGATGGACTCTGGACCAGCTTACTCATCTGAAAAATAGCATCATGGTTAATCAAAGTAACGTTTTCATAGGGTGTTGAGAAGACTAAAAGAGATCATACATGAAATGAGTTTGAAATAATGTCCCTCAGAGAAGCCTTCCCTGACTCCCTATTTAAAATTGCAGTCACCCCTCACTCCGTATAACCCTTCCCTGCTTTCTTGTTGTTTCTTCCATAGGACGTATTGCCATTTAACATACTATATATTTTACTTATTATTGCATCTCCCCTCTCACTAGAATATAAGTTCCATAACAGCAGGGAATGTTGTTGTAGTCATTGTAGTCGTTGTTTTCCTGCTGTATTTCCAACGTCTAGAACAATGTCTGACATATAAGAAGCACTTAGTAAATATATGTTGGTTGAATAAATGAATGCTTAGCACATAATAAGTACTCAACAACGAATTGCTGTTATTATCATGTCTGAATTATTTTCTATCATGAAAAAAATTTCCTTTCTCTATTCCTCAGTTTCTTTCTGATCTTTTTACTCCATTGGCTCAACTCCTATCTGTAAATGTCAGTAAGCTCAGTAATGCCAATCAAATTGATGCAAATCTGCTAAGTAGTATCTCACTCCAGTATTAAAAAACAGCCACCTGTATTTAGAATTTCTGCTATATGGCAGGCTCTGTGCTAAGCATTATTTTTTTCTTTTCCAGTCCTCTTGTAGCTCAGATGCATAAAATTACAGCAATCATCATGACCAATCCATGTCCAGCCCTCTTTCTTTTGTTTTAGTTCCTTTCATTCCCCATCTAAAATTCCAGATTTTATCACACAGTATTTAGTGTGAACTTTTCAATCCACCTTTCATGAACAATGATGGTATTGTCTTATGTGAGTACACATGAGTGTATTTACACAAATGTTATTGTGCAATCTGTCTCATTCTGTTTCTCGTTTTCCCCGCAACTTAGACTTCTGATCATCTATCCATGTTGATATTTGTTGGTGTTGCTCACTCTGTTTATCCATTGTTGAGTGTTTCACCACATCTGTGTAACTCTGTTAATAGTTCCCTGTTAGCAGGGAGCTATTTTTTATTCGCAGTATTATCAATCCTCACCAAAACTCTGAGAGATAAGTACTATTATTTCCATTTCTGAGAGGAAGAAATGAGGCTCGGGAGAGTAAGCCACTGGCCAAGGACACTCAGCTGGAGAAGCCATGAATTAAATCTGTATATCTCTGTTTAATCCTCTTGCCTTCCCGATTCATAAAATTCATTCAATTACTGTGGGACTTATGAAATAATGTTTAAAACTAATAGATATGTGTATTTAAATTAAACTAGAAGCCAGTTTTTTTTGCAAAGCGATGTTATTTGTCTCAAAGACACAAGTTTAGTTTTCTTCAGAGACACGAGTTTAATACTAGTATTTGTGGTTTATAATTTCCTTAAAACACTTGAACCTTCCATGAAAATCTCACAAGCATGTTTGTCTTCAGATATTTAAAATTTATCATTTTAAAGAAGAATGAGGCACCAGAACACTAGATAGGATTAAAAAGGGAATTGTATAAGGGAATGGATTATGGCTTCAATGTGAGAAAAACATTAAACATGTCTGTAGCAGAATGGTATCCTTTTTCAGCATTAAATTCCCGCTGTGTATATCTTAAAGAGCCTTGTGAAATGGCCATGTAACTCCCCAAAACACTTCCACATTTTATCTTTCATTTATTTTCTCAGTGTCACTCTGGATTATGGAGATGAACAGTTCAAGGATATGTAATCTTAACCTCAGATTGTAAATGGAAGGAAAAAACGGGATTGATCACACCACCTATCAACAGTCAATCTGGACCCCAGCCTAGGCCTTCTCACTTTCAAAGCTAAAACCCACAAACCATTTTTCATAAGTCTGATGTACACGGCCTCTCTTGTATGATGACAAAAGATTATGGGGTCTTAGGCCATAATTAGACCAACCCAGCTCCACACTTTAGAGAAATCCCTTATTTTCCCCTTGCTATTTAAGTATGCTTTTCCTTGACTTCCCTTTCCTCATCGTCTGGGGCCTAGAGCAAAAGGAGAAGGAAGCTGCTTGGCATGCTTTGGTTTCATGCCCTCTTCCTGCCGCTAGCCTGAGTGAAAGGAAGGCTGTTCATGGGTCAGACTTTTTGTTTTTTTTCTGAATAAGTTGGTCTTATTAAGAATTAAGAACAGGTTTATCTAAGTCAGATTCTGGTAGCCTTTAATGTTAAGTCTGATTATTTTACTAGAAGATCTTTTTGGTTTTGACTAATTGCCAATCTATGTCTAGCACATGGAGTAGGAAGGGACAAGGGAGAGAATGAGTAATATAATAATAAAATTAATAGGGGACCATACTGGAACTTCAGAGTAATTTTTAAAAGTGTGTGTATATGTTTAGCATCAACCTCTGTACATACAATAGCCCTGAAATCTGATGGGAAGAATGACCGCAGCAGGACACAAAGACTTCCATATTCAAGATCCTGAGTCCCTGTCTAGTGCCATCAATCCCAATATAACTATAAAATGAATTCTGACACTTAGAAGGAATTTGTGTGATGAAACAAATGACGGGGTCAGCCTTTGAATGGTCATTTCAATAATAATTTCCAACATTTGTTATAGTTTACAGTGTTCTTTCACATCCATTATCTCATTTAGGGAGAACATGGGGTCTGTGAGGGTCATTCAATTCTGACAGTGGTCATTATAGAAGACATATACTTTTCTCTTCTGGTATCACTAAAAATATTATAGATAGCCATCCATTTAAACTTGCTAAGAAGATACTCCTAAACAGAAGAGAACTGGCTGAAAAAGATAACTTCAGGAGGTCTAGTGAACATATCCAAGTGATTCTTCATCACTGTCACTTTTTACTTCCCAGACCCTAAAGTTGTAGGAAAGAATGTGACAACCACATGGGAAATCCCAAAACAGATGGTAGGTTTTCAAGTCTCCTAAAAAGATGTAAAAAATTAGTATATCTTCATTTATAAACAAGAACTGTTGAAAGGCAACTTTACTGTTTTTTCTTAAATAAGCATTATTTTACTCATTTGCCAATACTTATTTACTCTTACAAAGTAATTATTTGCAACACCCTCAGAAAGAATATTGATAATGAGAAGTAATATAACTTGGCCTGATCACAAGGTCATGAGACAGTCATCCTCTTCATTGATTATATAACACATAGTAACTTACCTTCCCTGTACCGACAAAGAAACATTTAATAATCTTAAACATGCATTATTTTGATTAGACATTTTACTGTTTTGAGTAGAAATTCAAATATGTTTAACACGAATCTATTTAGATGAATATTATTCATCCAAACAATCTTTATAGTAAATATACTTATATTTTTCTATGTGTAATTTCTCTCTCTAGCAGTTTTTGGTTTCTTCTTAATGAGTTGGTCTTATAACGAATTAAGAACAGGTTTTACTAAGTCAGATTCTTGTAGCCTTTAATGTTAACTCTGGTTATTTTGCTAGACGATCCCCTTGGTTTAGACTAATCATCTAGCACATTGACTAGGAAGGGACAGGGAGAAAATGAGTAATACAATAATAAAATTTTAGAGTTGGGGCAAGTATTAACGATCATCTCTTTTAATCTTTCCCTATCCCTGTGCCACCAACCAAGGCATTTTTGAACAAGGAAACTGAGTCCCAGAGAGATTAAATGATCTCTCCTAGGCCAACAAGATAATAGCAAAGTTATACTAGTCAAAGAGCACAGATAATCCCAGGACTTCAAATCCTACATGATTTTACTTCCTAATAATCCCTGCAGGGGTAGAGCTATAGAGCTACTTTGACATTATAGAAGCTTAATTTGTTTTCAAATATTGATGACAACTATTCTCTATTAAATATATCTTGATAAAATAAAGTCTCTAGATATTACATTTTATGAGAATTTTCTAAATGATGCTAATGCTATTTATGATTTAATGTTCAAGGTAGTAAAATAGTAAGCTCTTTAGTGGCTTTATCATTAAAGTAACCACATTAAAGTAACTATTAATTATACTTCAAAAAGTAAATTCAAGAAATTATGTCAATCAAAAAAGCTTCTCTAATTAGCATTTACTATTGTCACCATGAAAGCATGTACCTAAGATATTTTCTATTTTGTATAATAAAATAATTTTCACAAGACTATTAGAGCATTTCCCTGAAGTCTTTGTGTGATTTCTAAATGATTCTGTGAAGTTTAAATTTGTAAAATGTCTAAACATTCATTTTGACACACAGATGATTTCAGTAGTAAAGCCAGAATCTCTGTGCAAAAAATATTTAGATATTGTTATGGAAAAGCATAGTGCTGAATCTATTTTCTACACAAAAATAAAAGGAAACGTTATGTAATTTAATTGTATTTCACTAGAGACAGAGGATGGCTATCTCTGGGAATGGGAATTGGACTTCAATTTTACGTGTAGTGTTTGAATTCTTTCCTAAAGAACAACATAAAGCTGATATGACAAAATGCTCATTATTATCATTTGTGCGTCATAGGTAGATGGGTGTTTATACTTTTTTATTTTGTAAGTTTCTTCAAAAAAATTAAAGAATTTTATAATTAAAATTGGATATTTTCATGTACCTATACTACATAACCTTAAACTTCTATATTTAAAGCTTACATTTTAAGGCAATATATACTGATAATGTTATGCTTTGCCTTTTTCCTCTCATTGATTAATCACATTTATGAAGTATAACTGTCAATCAATAGTCCAGAGAATTTTATTTGGCTTCACTGTACAAAATTATACTCTATGTGTATGTTAAATATACTCTATGTGTATGTGTATGTTAAAGAATGTTATGCATCTCACATAGCCTATCAAATTAGCCCCCTTTTGTTTTTTGATGTGATTGTGTGTGTCTCCTCTGAAACAGTGATGTACATTGTGACACATAGTTAACACACAAATGAGCTTTGATTCGTGACTGAAACCTGCTTTAAAGTCAATTCTCCCACAGGCTAACACCATTAGCACGTGATTAATGTTTCCAGGGCCTGGAATTAACCAGTGATAATTTTAGAATCTACAAGTATCCACATAATTGTCTCCAAATAGCTGTCTCTGAAGAGCGGTCAAGAACTAAAGTGAAATGGAGGTTGAATGTAAGGATATGTCTTCTTATTAGGGGGATGATTCATTTACTTCAGGTCTGTCATGACAGTCAAGGAGTGTGTTTGGAGATGTATTTGGGAGAGGAGACGGGGTGGAAGAATATGACTGTTGCTTGAAGTGGAGTTTGGAAAGTGTTGAAGAGATGAGGCATTTTCTGACCTAGACTATTGCTCAATAATTTAAAAGAGATTATCTCCTAAGTATGTAAGGAAAGAAGTCTAAGAAAGACTAATGTATGAATTTAACATCTCTCACAGCAAGAAAGTCATAGCCAAGGGCAAAATAAAATATCTTAGTCTGGATAAAATTCCATAGATAAATACGTGTCTTTAGTCTGTTTGTTGTTTTTTTTTAAGAACTCAAACTCTTGAATGCCCTGCCTTCTTAAGTTAAAAAGTCAAACACCAGCTGTTTATAAAAGGCAATCACAAACCCAAATTCCTAAATTCAAAAATACTAAGAAGTTTTATTTTTCTCCAAAATAGTTGAACTAAGACATACTTTTGAAAACATCACTAAACAGATACAGTTTTGGTTAGTCCTGTTCTTGCTCTTGCATTAAGGCTAATGACAGATATATTGCCATCCTTTGATTCAGAACACACAACAACAATAACAAAATGAACATGAATTTTGTTCTGTGTCTTTCCATAGGTGAGAAAAAAAAGCATATATCCTGCCAGAACAAACCCTTCCAAGTTTATCACAATGATAAACCTGAGGCACATCTCACTTGACAAGATACCTAGTAGGCTTCATATGTGAATACAGGAGTTTTGGGATCCTTTCTTAATTCCTTTTTCCTTCCTTCCTTCCATCCTTGCTCTTTTAAGATCTGCAAACTACATTGTGGTAGAAATTTTTCACTTCAAATTTAAGAGTAACAACCCATGCTTCAAGGAGGCAATGTTTGAACCTGTTAAACAATTCTTTTAGGAAGAAACAACCAGCATATTGAAATGAGTCATTTGCACAAAGGCTAGCAGAACTCATTCCAGAGCACACAGAAGGAGGGAGGAAATGCAAAACAGGACAACCTGTTGAGAGCAAACAGTGGAAGGGACTCATTGTCTCACCTGGGGAGAAAGAGCCTTTGGCGGATATTTCAAAGAGACTCTAGACAGTGTAGGAACAAATACAGGAACCTGCCATACTGGCTTTGCTGTGGGAGAAGCTAACATTTCAGATTCTTGGTGTTCTCAACTGTAAAATGAGGGGATTAGGCTGGTTCCATCTGGATACCTTAACAGCCAAGAGGCTTGCAGAGGCCCAGAAGTGATAGACTTGACCTAACCACACTGATATTAGGGATTATGGTCATATCTTTTCTCTGAAGCTCAATATCTGCATTATGCTAATCTTTATGATGCCCAAAAGATCCCCTGGGAATCTGCTTTGACTTTTCCCTAAGGCTTCGGCTTGTACTAAATACAGTGGCTGCAATTAAATGGACTATGGCATAATAATACCTCCACTCTGGGTCTGATTTAAGCAGACTTGAGATTCACCTTCAATGATGGAAGTTCTACTTCTGGAGTAATAATTTATCCGGCAGGTGCCATGGTGGTTTGCTGCACCTATCAACCCATCATCTACATTAGATACTTCTCCTAATGCTATCCCTCCCCTAGCCCCCCACCCCATGACAGGCCCCGGTGTGTGATGTTCCCCTCCCTGGGTCCATGTGTTCTCATTGTTCAACTCCCACTTAAGAGTGAGAACATGCGGTGTTTGGTTTTCTGTTCTTGTGTTAGTTTGCTGAGAACAATGGTTTCTAGCTTCATCCATGCCCCTGCAAAGGACATGAACTCATCCTTCTTTATGGCTGCATAGTATTCCATGGTGTATATGTGCCACAATTTCTTTATCCAGTCTATCATTGATGGGGATTTGGGTTGGTTCCAAGTCTTTACTATTGTGAATAGTGCTGCAATAAACATACATGTGCATGTGTCTTTATAGTAGAGTGATTTATAATCCTTTGGGTATATACCCAGTAATGGGATTGCTGGGCCAAATGGTATTTCTGGTTCTAGATCTTTGAGGAATTTCCACACTGTCTTCCACAATGGTTGAACTAATTTACACTCCCACCAACAGTGTAAAAGCATTCCTATTTCTCCACATCCTCTCCAGCATCTGTTGTTTCCTGACTTTTTAATGATCACCCTTCTAACTGGAGTGAGATGGTATCTCACTGTGGTTTTGATTTGCATTTCTCTAAATGGTGTTGGGAAAACTGGCTAGCCATGTGCAGAAGACTGAAACTGGACCCCTTCCTTATACCTTATACAAAAATTAACTCAAGATAGATTAAAGACTTAAACATAAGACCTAAAACCATAAAAACCCTAGAAGAAAACCTAGGCAATACAATTCAGGACGTAGGCATGGGCAAAGTCTTCATGACTAAAACACCAAAAGCAATGGCAACAAAAGCCAAAATTGATGAATGGGATCTAATTAAACTAAAGAGCTTCTGCACAGCAAAAGAAATTATCATCAGAATGAACAGGTAACCTATAGAATGGGAGAAAATTTTTACAATCTATCCATCTGACAAAGGGCTAATATCCAGAATCTACAAAGAACTTAAAACAAATATACAAGAAAAAAACAGAAAAACCCATCAAAAAGTGGGTGAAGGATATGAACAGACACTTCTCAAAAGAAGACATTTATGCGGCCAACAAACAAGAAAAAAAGCTCCTCATCACTGATCATTAGAGAAATGCAAATCAAAACCACAAGGAAATAGAATATAAATTATAATAGGATAATTAGAATAAAAAGTACACACTAACAAAAATTTTGTCTAAACCCTAATGCCCACAATACTTGATATCTAGTAGATGCTCAATATCAATTGAATAAATAAATGAGACAAAATATATTGCATTTTTAAATCTACTACCTACCTCCCCAAAACTCACTTTCCAGAATTATTCCCTTTCTTTTTTCCTTTCTCTCTTCCTTTCCTTTTCCTTCCTTCCTTCCTTGCTTCTTCTCTCTCTCTCTCTCTTTCTTTCTTTCCTTTTTGAGACACGGTTTCACTCTGTTCCCCAGGCTATAGTGCAGTGACTCCATCATGGCTCACTACAAGTCTGACCTCCCTGGGCTCAGGAAATCCTCCCACCTCAGCCTCCTGAGTATCTGGGACTATAGGCATGTGCCACCACACCCAGCTAATTTTTGTATTTTTTGGTATAGACAGGATTTGGCCATGTTACCCAGGCTGGTCTCAAGCTCCTGTGCTCAAGGGATCTGCCTGCCTCAGCCTACCAAAGTGCTGGGACTACAGCTATGAGTCACCACACCTGACCTTATTCCCCTGTTTTTCAACTAGCCTATCCATAAAGAAAATTGAGTTATAGACCCCAGGGGCCATGGATCACCCATAAGCTTCAGGCTAGGGGTATTCTGGGCTAATCTGTGCTTACTGGCCCAAATATAAACTTTGAAAGCCCTTTCCTTTGTTCTGTGCCCATTTATTGGCTCCTAAAGATGTTAGGTGCCCTGCTCTGCTACCTAAGAAGAGATAAATCTCACTGTTTTAAGCCTTCAGCCTTATGATGACCTACCTCTAAAGGTGGGTTTTAGAGTGACTCATTTTAAAAAGGCACAGAGGTGAGGTCTAACAAACTCATAATTTACTTAGGAAATTTCTCACCTCCCCCAAGCCAGGTCCCCCTTATGATTTTCTCATTTTTGATCATGATATTTTTATTCTCCTGGCCACACAGGCATGAAACTTCAGAGTCAGCTTGACCTCCTCTCTCAAGCTTCTTGCCTATATCTAGCTAGTGGCTATATCCTCTTATTTTGTACCCCCCAAAGTCTCCTACTTTCTTTTGCCATTTCTGGTCCCATTGGATTTGGAGATTAGAGAAATGACCGCCTACTTGATTACCACATCCCACCACACACACAGACTCACATATAATATACTGCTCTACTAGACTACCACTGATATGTGCTATATCAAGAGCATGAATTGCTCATTGGCTCCCAAACTGACATGGGTTTGCTATATTTAAGAAATCAAGATTCTTAACCAAACTTTCCAATCTTATCTCTTATTTACGGCTTTTTTTTTTTTTTTTTTTTTTTTTGAGATGGTGTTTCACTCCTGTTGCCCAGGCTGGAGTGCAATGGTGCAATCTCAGCTCACTGTAACATCCACCTCTTGTGTTCAAGTGATTCTCCTGCCTCAGCCTCCCAAGTAGCTGGGATTACAGGCATGCACCACCGTGCCTAGCTAATTGCTTTGTATTTAGTAAAGTTTCACCATGGGGTTTCAACATGGGGTTTCACCATGTTGGTCAGGCTGGTCTCGAACTCCTGACCTCAGGTGATCTACCTGCCTTGGCCTCCCAAAGTGCTGGGATTGCAGGTGTGAGCCACAGTGTCTGGCCTCTCTTATTTACACTTCTATATACACAGTAATTCAATTGAGTGGACTGCGTGTCTTTGGGGGAAAAAGATCCTAAGTTTTCCCATGTCTATGACTTTCTTCGTACTATTCCACTTACCTGGAATGAACTTGCATAGTCCCAAAATAGATTACTAATAACTATTTCTGCCTAAGTTTTAGAAACCCTTTGAAAATATCCTAATTTTAAGTTCCTAGAGGAAAAATTTAATACCTAGCACAGCCTTAATAAATAAATCATAATGACCATGATACTGATGGCCTAACACTAATAAACACATAGTTTTGAATACTAGTTAAGTTCTGTTGTAGCTTTTAGGGATTCAAAGCCATAGTCCCTGATGCCAAGTTGATACTTAATGGTTGCTTCAAGTGACTGGGGGATCCAGCATTGGCAATCACTTTGAACATCAGGGGTTTTTCCTGTATAAGCAGGAATTATTTATAGCCATACAAATTAAATTTCAGGGAAGGTGGGGTGGGTAGGGAATGACTAACATTATTGAGCACTATATGTATGTATATATGTATATGCCAGGGATTGTGCTAAGTACTTTCCACATATATTTATGTCATCTGCATAACAATCCCTATGCAGCATCTAGTAGTATCTCTATCTTCACAGAAGAGAAACCTGAAGCTCAGAAAAAGTGTTTATAAATTGCTTAAGAACAAATATCTAATAAATTACAAAGCCAAGATTTGGACCCAGCTGGGCCTGATACCAAAGATTATGTTCTTTGTATGACAAGGAGGACACAGTCTATGGAGCAGACACATAAATAATTAGGTGAATTTGCATTGTAATAAGTGCTGTAACTGAAGTAAATCCAAAGCAAATGGGCTTTCCATTACCTCAGTGCTTATATTGCAGTTTAAGGTGGAAGCAAAGCTGCGTAATGATCAAGATCACCCACAACGGAAACAGGAAGAGCTTGGTTCAAATGTAGCTCAGTGTGAACTTGAACAAGTGGTTCAATCATTCCAAGCTTCAGTTTTCTTATTCATAAGATTAAAATAATCAAGCTTATTTTAAAAATAAAATTAAATCATGCATATAATGTCATTAGCACCTTATCTGGAACATAGAACTTACTCAAGAAATTGTAGCTAATTAAATATAATTATCATCACTATTCAGTAGCCTCTTTCATCTTTAATACCTCGGCCTCTTCCAAACACCTTTAAAAAGTGTGACTATATTTGCTTATCTATATGTGTGATTTCATTTTGTGTTGTTGAAGGACCATTTGAAAGTTGCAGACACCCATAAAAATACTTTAATGTGAATCTTTTAAAAATAAGGACATTCTTGGCTGGGCACGGTGGCTCACGCCTGTAATCCCAGCACTTTCGGAGGCTGAGGCGGGTGGATCAAGAGGTCAGGAGTTTGAGACCAGCCTGGTCAACATGGTGAAACCCCGTCTCTACTAAAAATACAAAAGTTAGCTGGGCGTGGTGGCGGGCACCTGCAATCCCAGCTACTCAGAAGGCTGAGGCAGGAGAATCGCTTGAACCCAGGAGGTGGAGGTTGCAGTGAGCCGAGATCACACCACTGCACTCCAGCCTGGTTGACAGAGCAAGACTCCATCTCGAGAAAATATATATAAATAAGGACATTCTTGTGCATAGATAATGATATAATTGTCACCTAAAAAAAAGCAACAATATCCCCTAATATCCCTAATATGATCTAATTTCTAGTACATATTTAAATTTCCTAAATTGTTCCCAAGGACATTTTGAACCAGGATATACTCAAGGTTCATGTGTTATATTTGGTTGGTGTTTCTTTATTCTCTTTTAATTTTTATCAGTTCTTACCTCATTTCCAACCTTTTCTTGCTTTTCTTGACATTGTCTTTTTTGAAGAAGCCAGGACATTTGGCTTAGTACCAATTTCTGAACTTGTTTGATATTTTTCCTCAAAGTGTCATTTAACTTGTTCTTCTATCCTCTCTGTTATCTATACCTTGGAATGCAGGTCTTATGCCCCTATTGCTTTTAAGTGAAACATTGTGGCAAGAATGTTTCCAAGTCAATGCTACGTAGTTCATATTACTTCACATCAAAATTTCCATGACCACTTCCTCTTCAAAATATTGTGTGGTTTCCTAGCTATCTCTGAGGTCTGGCTAGACTAGTGGTTTCAACTCTGTCTTCACTTAGAAATCACTGGGGAGTTTTAAAAAAATATTTGTTCCTGAGTTATACCCCTAGAAATTCTTGACTTGGACAAAGGGATTGGTATTTTTGTAAAGCTCCCCAGGTGATTTTCATGTGTTAACTGGGGTAAAAAGGAACTGGTTTAGAATATAAGCTCTGAAAAGCAAGGGGTACACCTTCCTTATTTACTACTACATATTCTCAGAGTTGAGCAGATGGCTTGGCTCATAATTACTACTCAATATTACATGCTGAATTAATTAATTATTAGTTAATTAACATTCAGCTTACAGTCAACCTCATCTTCTTCCTTTCATACTTCTTCCTTTCATACTACATGGCGTACTATGAAGCCAACAGGTTAATTTTATAGCATCTTTAGAGAAATCACAATAGGCCACTGCTTTGCAAATTTCTGAAAACTACATATCAATGGGAAAAGAATCATTTTCAAACTTCTGAGAAAGGAAAAATGAGCAAACAATCATTCAGCTATAGTGTTACATTAGTTATGCTGCAGACAATTCACTCTCTGTTTTTCTTTTCACATTACCAGTTCTTCCAGTTCTTATTTTAATGACTGGTAGAAAGATTCCAAAATTACTTAAGGTGAAAGAAAGATCAGGAGTTTGTCTTGGTTGTAACTGTTGTTGTTTTAAAGATACTGAGCAAATTTTAACCATGTGGAGGAATGCTATAGAAAGAGAAGGATTTAGGGTATAGTTATACTTCTATTTGTTTGAATTTGACTTTGGCCAAATCCTAAGAACAGAATGAAAAAAGGTGTATGACTCATACGTGATTGCCACAATTCTACACCTGTAGCTTCAAATAAAAAGGAGTCAAGAATGAGTATCTTCTTGAAAAAAAAAAAGATAACCAGAGCAAATTTAGGAAATGATGAATATACACTTATTTACTGTACTGTTACTAAGTGAAAATCACTAATAATCCAATAGAAAATCAGAAAAAGACATAAACATACAGTTTGTACCTGAAAAGGCTTTTATACTGATAAAAAAGGGTCACTCTCACTCACAATAGCAAAATTGTAAATTAAAACTAATTCTGAGATCTTTTCCTTTAACTCATAAGATTTCCTTTAACTCATAAGAAAATCTACCATAGTGGAGGAATACGAATGCATATATGTTTTGATCAAATAATACCAACTAAGGAAAATTATTGTATAGATACCTTCCACTCATTATGTGAAATATCACATAAAGAACATTACTCATTCCATTATGAGAAAAGATTAGAAGCAACTATCCATCATTAGTGAATTCGATGAATAAATTGTATTTATTTAATAAATAAAATGTAATAACAGAATCAAACACTTTGCAGTATAATAGGAAACCACAGGGACACTACGTATTGATATGGAATGCTAATATATTGTTTAGTGAAAAAATATATAGAATCATTATGTAGAGTATCCTACAATATATATAAAAGAGGGAGACCAGGTATGATGACTCACATCTGTAATCCCAACATTGTGGGAGGCTGAAGCAGGAGGATCACTTGAGACCAGGAGTTAGAGAGCAGCCTGGGCAACATAGTAAGAAAAAAATGTTTTAAAAAATTAACTGGATGTGGTGGTGCATGCCTGTAGTCCCAGCTACTCAGGAGGCTAAGGTAGGAGAATCACTTGAGCACAGGTCTTACTCTGGGAGGCAGAACAAGACCCTGTTTTTGTTCGTTTGTTTGTTTGTTTCTTTGTTTATAAAAGGAAACAAGAAGGAATATATATTTGTACTGTAATATTTTATACATGAAAAATTGGGGTCAGATAAATAAGGAACTGGTAAGTAGTTAGCTATTTAGGGGAGGGGATGGGAACTTGGTGGGTGTAAGACAGTGGGTGGGAGAAACAGGAAGGAAACTTTTCACAAGACAGTTTGTCATATTTTATTGTGTTTGAACAGCATAAATATAGCACATATTCAAAAATCTAAAAATTTTGGAAAATCCCTATCAAAAGCCATGGGAAATGCATGTTTTTAAGTAGAAAGTATCCCAGACAGTCTTATATCCCTTATTCTTGCTGTGGAGTTTCAGAATCAATTCTATTACTTACCAGTTTCGCTAAAAATGAAACTGAAACTCTGCATACTTCTCATATACTTAGTCCTAAAAATAGACTCAGGGAAAAAACTCAGAAAAAAAACCTTCTCATGATAATTTTCAATATTGATTTTTGTTGCTTTACAGAATTACAAAGTTTTAGATTACACTTAAACATGCACTATTTAAAGCCAAACAGACCACTGTTGAAAGATATCCAAACCAAGGCATGTGCTTACATGATACTGAAGTAATGGTGTCAAAGTAAAATTAATCTTTTTCTCCCATCAAGCTCTCCATGGAATCCAAGAGAGGGAAACGCTATCTCACACAATGATGGAGAAAATTTCATCTAAGAAAATAAGGAATTATTATTATTATTATTATTATTATTATTATTATTATTATTATTTGAGACGGAGTCTCGCTCTGTCGCCCAGGCTGGAGTGCAGTGGCCCGATCTCAGCTCACTGCAAGCTCCGCCTCCCAGGTTCATGCCATTCTCCTGCCTCAGCCTCCCGAGTAGCTGGGACTACAGGCGTCCGCCACCACACCCGGCTACACCCGGCTAATTTTTTGTATTTTTAGTAGAGACAGGGTTTCACCGTGTTAGCCAGGATGGTCTCAGTCTCCTGACCTTGTGATCCGCCCACCTCGGCCTCCCAAAGTGCTGGGATTACAGGCGCGAGCCACCGCGCCCGGCGGAATTATTTTTTCACAGGCAAATCAATAAGATAAAAAGTAACTGTGGTTTGCTCATTTGCCTCTTAGCATCTACTACTTTGGGTTATCACTTATCTTTGTGCATGGATTCTATTACAAAAAAGTATGGGACTGTTATCATTAGCACTTTGTCCAGTGCAATGCATACGATAGATGCACCATAAAAGCCTGACCTACCACAGTGAAATATATGGGTTCTAGGGTCTCTGTGACCTTGACAAGTCAAACATTCTTTCTCTGGCTTAGCTCTCAATTTCTTTATCTGGAGGTGGAGTGCCTAACTTGGGATACCTCACAATGTTGATATAGTGGCCAAATAACACAATAAATGTAAAAGACTTTGGAAAGTATAAATGAAAGTTGTACTACTGTTACTGCAATTATGACACAGATATAAACAGATAGGGCAGAGGGGGGAAAAAGCTGATTCCAGAACATGCTTCATGGAGTCTCACTCCTACAGAAGAGCAAAAGGAAACCTAGGTAGGTTAAGTAACTTGCTCAAAATCAAGTAGCCAGTCAGAAGTAGAAGTGAAGACAAATTCTCATTCACATGTTTTGACTGAATGACTCATTTTTCTACTACTTTACTTCTATTACTTGGCCTTGAGAGCCTATGGAAAATGTGAAGGAGAGGGATCACCTGGTTACTCCAGTCATAGGAAGGCTGGAGAAACATTAAAGAAGTGATCAGAGAAAGCACAAAAGCATAGGAGAGTGGTGATCAAGTCTTAGTTGGGATGGTTATAAGTAGAAGTATAAGAGTGGAGGGATGTTACGGAAAAGTTTTACTAAGCATTTTTGACCTACCAAGGTCTTTATGGCTTTATCTCATGTAATCATCACAACAATCTAGTCAATGTAATCTCCATTTTCTAATTGAGGAAGTGAACAAGAAGCAGCTACTAGGTGGCTGAGCTGTGATGGATCTGGAACTGCGTAACTCTGTTCAGGCCCTCCGATTGCTATGCCTCATTCCACAATTACCAATAAAGATCATAGAGGATGTCGGCCCAATGGGAGAGTATTAGAGACTTTTTTAAGGGAATATATGCTCAAAATTTACACATTATTTATCTTCACTAAATATTTCCTTTCTAAATTTGTAGAGTAAAATATTAGTAAAAATCTCAAGATGGATTCATGTTGGGTATTTTCTTCTTGAAAGAGAAAAGACCTTCTTTAAGATGAACACCTTTAGGATCCTCCAACCAGAAGGACCAGAACAGGTGGTTTGAGTCAATGAATAAATGCTATCCCATAGGGGTCTTCAAATGAAATTAGCCTGGGATATTTCTGTATACCAAGTAAGTTACTGAGTAATAATAATATCCAACACATACACAGAACATTCTAAGTACCACGTGCTATTCTGAGAAGTTGCACATTCATTTAATCCTCGTAACTGTATGAGGTGAGTTCTCTTATTATCTTTATTCTGCAAATGAAGAAACTGAGACACAGAGAGGTTAAGGAACATGTCCAAGATCAAATGGCTAAAAAGTAGTGGAGCTGGGATTCAAACCCAGGTAGCTTGTTTAGCACTACTCAGTGTTGCAGACTGTGTATCACTTTGTATATTCCCTCACCTAGGATTTAATTTAAAAAGCAATTTTTCTGTCTAAAGTGAAGCTTTCAAATTCTGAAGTTAGATAGATAAGGGTTCACTTATTAATTAAGTCATTCTAATATTGATTCATTCAGTATATATTATAATCCTACTATGTAACAGGCTAAGTAATAGCAAAAGTAGACATAGCTTCTGCTATCTTAAAATTTAAAGTCTAACAAGGAAATACACTTAAATCAAATAATTGCAAATAAATATAAAATTACAAACTCTTGTAAGAACTATGAAGGAAAGATTCAAAATGTTATGATAAGATTTTTTTTAAAAAAGCATGTAAGAGGTATATGTCCTAGTTGAGGGTGGTGGTTCTGAGGAAATGACCTTTGAACTAGAATTACTAATTTAGGGTTCTTTGTTTTGTTTTTGTTTTATATTTTGTTTTGAGACAGGGTCTTGCTCAGTAGCCCAGGCTGAAGTGCAGCAGTGCAATCTCAGCTCACTGCAACCTCTGCCTCCTGGGTTCAAGCGATTCTTATGCCTCA